>NT_187658.1:0-190783 GCF_000001405.40 Homo sapiens
ACTATGAAAATGCCCTCTACTCTTGATAGTTGATATTAGGATATTAATTTCTATTTGCTCTGAAACATGTTTTAAAAAACAGCAACTCTAAAGAAAGGAAGAGTTACAGAAGAGAGAAACAGGGATACACAGACAGAGTCAGAAACAGAGACAGAGATAAAGAGATCCAGCCAGCTGTACATAAGATTCCCTACATTACAATTACAGATACACTAATTAAGTTTTAGGAGTAATTAATCACATAAAACATTAATGCAAGAACTGAAGTTAATTTAGAAACATCTTATCTTTGTTTGTCCTAGAAAAGCATAGTTTCTCTTCAGATTTGTTTATGTTGTTGGAATTTTCTTCCTTTTAGAATAGACATTACTTTCCAAATCACCTTTAGAGATGCATGTCTTAATTTATTGTTCCCCAGTATTAGGATAAATGAATGACTTGAGGGGTAGATTAGAGCTATGGACTCACCAAAAATCACAGCTAATTCCGTCTCTGGCATAAAGTAGCTGGAGGTGGCAATGAGAAAGGACAAATAGTAGGCAATAAAGAGGAGAAGGAAGGAAATGACAGCTTTCAGGGCTCTCACATGGGCTTCTGTGCTGGGGTCTCTGCACCCTGTGGCACTGAGCTGCATTCGCCTGATATGTCTCCGCAGGGAGAGGATCAAGAGGAAAAAGGACATTAGGCACACACAAAAGGGGAGCAGCGTTGCCAGGTTGAGAAATAACTTGGTAGAAGCATGTTGAGTTTTATTTACTCTGCAACTCCAAGTTAAGTTTGTTTTCCTCTTTGCCTTCACACAAAACCTGAAATCAGCGTTCAAATTCTCAGTGGCTGGAAGGCTAATAAACACAGAGAGAACCACGCACCCCAGTAGAATCCAGGAAATCACCCTGTCAATTCTCCACTTCATCCAGAGGAAAAGTGGGTGAAAGAAATTACCTATCTTGAAGAAATAGTAAATGCTGAGGCAGGTTGCAAACCAGATACTTAAATGATTGGTTAGTGTCCAGAAGAAGTCAATGATTCTCATTTCTTTACCAGTGGCATAGACATCTGGATATAGCACCAATATAAAACAATCTAATAGTATTACGCACAATAGACAAATTCTGGATATGGCCAGACTTGTGAGGATTAAATCAATGGAGGCAATTTTCCTCTTCTTGACCCAGTCCATGCAGTTTACCAATCCAATGAATGCATTCCCTAAGATCCCCACTGAAAACTCTCCAACTGCTAAGAACAATAAAGTAGTCTGCACTTTATCTGCCATGTTTAAATATGCAATTAGTTTCTAGTTGACCTGATGGAGTTTGACATCCACACCTGCTTCTTAGATTTTGATGTAGTTTTCTTTACCTCTTTGTTGTAGTCTGTTTTGTGATGGAGACTGGAATGATAAATGAAGACTGGAGCTATCTTCATTAAATCCTAATTAGTCTTGACAAACAATGTGTTTGGCGATCCTTGGCCTGGCCACTGTATGCCCATTTACCTACTCAGCAGGTTGTAATTTTCCACATACGGTTAATTTAGGCTGAGCTACTGTTTACTAAGATGCAAATTGGGCCAATTCCCTTTCATGGTCCTGCATTGTCTTTCTGAGGCTAAGGTGTACGCATTTTGGATTCATTAATTTGTGATGTATGCTAGTAACCTCAATAGGGTTGCTAGATTTAGCGACTAAAAATTCAGGACACTCAGTTAAACTTGAATTACAGGTAAAAAAATCAATAATTTTTTAGTGTATGTCCCTGATTACTTAAGATCAGTGCTTTCAGGAAGTACTGAAGTTCAAATTAGATTGAGTGTTCCATTCTGGCAACCTGAACATCAAGAATTTGGTAGCAAGTATAAAACTGGTAAAATTGGAAAGTTCTTGAAGAATTTTTATTTTGCTGAATGTTAATATTGATAATTAGTAAAGAATCCAAAGTTTGGTTCCATAGTGAGAGTTATATATTTTCAGGAACTTTAAAAAGTTAACACTAAATGTAGGTTATTTGATTCCAAAGAAACTTTAGGTCATTATTTTGGCTGTTCAGATGAACAATTACATGGCATAGTGTCTCTTAATACAACACATTGTCTTACTGACTAAATGACTTTTAATGGTTATTTAGCAATGTTATATATAATAAGGTAGAGGACCTGTAATAAAAAAAGACTATTGATTACCTTAAATTTTTCATTTTCACTTAAAATGTTCTCAAGGAAACTTTGAGAGGTATTAGATATGTCCATTACCTTGTTTGTGGTGAAGATATCATGGGTGTTTGAAATTTTATACATTAAATATATGCGGTTCTTTTTATACCAATTATACTTTCATAAAGATTTCAAAAATTTAAAAAATGTTCTCAAGGGTAGTTGTATGCATGAGAGAGGAGATAGTAAAATTCTGTATTTCATTCTCTCCACTGTCCTCCATACAAATTGCATGAGTATCTAGATCCTCAACCCTTCTAGCAGGAGACTGAAGATTAAACTTTCCACATCTCTAGAGATGAATTTTTAGTTTGAAATAGCTTCTCTAATTTAGAGTTACTGAGAAGCGCTTTACTACATGGGGTTCCATAGAATAGTTCTTGGGTATTCACACCTTCCTGGGAATGCATGTCTTCTCTTATCCTTCCTTAAAGGACAAACCATCATTCCGGAGATGTAGCCTTAACTTTTGGACAATCTGTATGATTATGTAGCCATGTTCACAGGCAACTGGAACATCACCTATGATAGGACGATCTTGGATATGATCCCTGACCTAGACTTATCATTTCTTTTGTTTTTTTTTTGAGATGGAATTTCGTTCTTGTTGCTCAGGCTGGAGTGCTATTTTGGCTCACCGCAACCTCCATCTCCCAGGTTCAAGTGATTCTCCTGCCTGAGCCTGCCAAGTAGCTGGGATTACAGGCAGGTGCAACCATGCCTGGCTAATTTTGTATTTTTAGTAGATTCCGGGTTTCTCCATGTTGGTCAGGCTGGTCTTGAACTCCCGACCTCAGGCGATCCGTGTGCCTTGGCCTCCCAAAGTTCTGGGATTACAGGTGTGAGCCACTGTGCCTGGCCTAGACTCATCATTTTTACCCTACAGTTTATCCTGGTAAATGAAGTGCTCATGGGAACTATGATGATGTATTTTCTCAAATAATTTTTAGACTTGTTTTTGTTTAGTTTTGGAAATAAATGTAGATTTTATGAATACCAATGTTGTATAGCGTGAAGTTATGTGAATATATAGTTAAAAAAAAAGTTCTATGAGAGAGCATTTTGTCAAAAGCTTACTACTTTGAACCCCAGTCACTGTGGTCACTAGAGATGCTTGAAACATTAGAGAGGCAGGAAACAAAATATGGAAGAAAAAAACTTAACCCTAATGGGGTAAAACCTTCCCAAAAGTACTAATTCAATAAAACGTTTATTTCACTTAAACCTTAGGAAAAATATAAAGTTCATCCTAGTATAAAATCTACCTGTATTTTGTAGAATACATTAATATATTTCATCAAGAGAACATGAATTCTTGTGTCTTGTAAAACAAAGAGTAACATATACAGCTAGCATATTAGAAATATAGTTCATAAAATTTATATACTTGGGGCTATAAATATTAGTACTTTACAGAGTGAGTTTTACATAATAATAAGACAAACAACTGATAATTTTCCGGTAATTAGTATTTTAGTTATAATAAAAGGAAATTAGTAGATTGAAATACATCAGAATTAAACAGAAAGTAATGGGAGTAAAAGCAATAATGTACAGCCATATTAGTACATACACAACCTGAGATATGCCAGACCAAACGTTTCAATAATATTATAGTGAGGATGGATTTCATGTTCACAGAAAAATTAAAAATTTTAGTGACTTATTTTCCTTTTTTTTTTAATAAAAATTTATCTGTATTTTTTGTAAACATTCGTTTCTTCTTCCAGGGACAGTATGTGCTTATTCCATGGTATACGCTATTTTCTTCCCAATTTATTTCTTTTGTTAAGTCCTGAGTGAAAACCTTTGCAGGGTCTGGTTAGAGAAAAGAACCTGATTGAGCAGTCTGACTAATATTTGTTATCCCCATTCTTTTATCCAGATTGTGAAGAGGGCTTAGGAACACCCCTTGGTGGGTGGCACTTGAATGGGTTCGATTCCCACCTAGGTGCTGCATGAAAAGCAAGTTGTTTGAGAGGAAATTTAATTCCAAGGAAAATCAATAGAAATCATCAGAATAAGGTCAACCAGAAAATATTACCTAGGAGACCATGGAAATCATCATTCGGGAAAACCAAAGACAGACCAGAGAACATCTGAGTTCCTAATCAATAAGCCAAATGGGGGTGACTCAGCAGAGCCATGAAAGGAGCACAATTAAGGAGCGGCAATAAAAATGTATGACAAAGAAAAATGAGAAACCAGTTACTGTAGCTCAGGTCCACTTTACCATGAGCCAAAGTAAAATCTAAAAAGACTTTAACTAGGCAATACAGGCCTAACACTTGCGTTGAGGAGACAAGAAGAGAAGCATGAGCTCTGAAATTCTTCGAGGAAAGGGAGTGTAAAGATGAGCATTTCTGAGTTGTAAAGGGATAGAAAAGATGTATTCAGTAGTTTGCTACTAGGTCCTAATAATATTTAAAGATATGCATCCAAAATAAATGAGATAACTGGGGAAAAATGAGAATAGACTATTAAGAAAACTATATTTTTTGTTAGAGAAGATTTGGTTTTAAATTCCATTTATACAGCTAAGATTTCATATCATGCAGGCAATTTTTCTACATGTCAGCATTCTGACAAATGTCTGCCTCAGTTTATTATTTAAAACAATTAAAATAAGTGAGTGACCCAAGGGGTAGAGAATTGCTGCAATCTCTCCAAACTCCACAGCTAACTTGTATTTTGTCATAAGATAGCTAAAGGTCATCAAAATAGAAGAAATATAGTATAGGAAAAAAAAGAAGATAAATGAAGTCATAGTTTTAATGGCTCTCACATGAACTTCTGTGCTGGGGTCTCTACTGCCGGTAGCATAGAGTTTTATTTGCTTGGTATGTCTCCATAAAGATCTTACTAAAAGGAAAAATGATATCAGTGACACAATAAATGGGACAATTGCAAACAGGTTAAAGAGAGTCAAGGGTTCAAAGTATGGTATTTTACTCACATGGAACATTTCAGTAATGTTTCTTTTATGTTTGGCAATTGCATGAAACCTATAATCACAACTCAGTACTATTGCTGCTATAAGGCTGACCAACAAGGAAATGGCAAAGCATCCCAGCAGGATCCAGTGCACCACCATATCAATTTTCCACTTCAGCCAGAGAAAAAGTGGATGAGAGGAACTGGCTATCTTCAGAAAATAGAAGACATTAAGGCAGGTGGTAATCCACATATTTAAGTAGTTGGCAAATGTCCAGAAGGTAAAAATGACTATCTGTTGTTTATTTTTTGTATAAACATCTGGGTTCAGTACTATTACAATGCCATTTACAACCATTACACTGATCAAACAAATTCTGGCGATAACTAAATTGGTAAGGATGTAGTCAACTGTGGAAATCTTTTTCTTCTTAATCCAGTCAATCCAGTTGACTAGTGCAATGTATCCATTCCCCAATATTCCTAGTATGAATTCTCCAGTTATTAGGATTATAAAGATGTTATCTGCAGGACTGAACATGTTTGTAGAGAGAACAATCTGATTTCAAATATCACTGTAGATGAGCTAATTTACAGGTGACCTGTTAAAGCATGATAGATCAATTCTTCGAATCATGCAATAATGTTTTCATCTGCTGTTATTTCGACGTTGTTATTCTTCCGGAAGTGTTCAGCTCTCCTCTGAAATAGGATTGTCTCTACACTCCTGAAGATGAAACCAACTAATGAGCAGCTTGACTAGTTATTTATAGCCTGGAAAAATTATAATTATTATCCTTTAGTGAGTGATACCTGAAATGTTTGGCTGAAATTGCTCCCATGCAAATTCAAAGAGATTTTATATCATGAATTTGCAACAGGCTTCTTGCTGTAGCTCTATATTTGGATCTTCAAATTGAGTTTTGAATAGGGAGTCATAAAAAAAGAGATAAATGTTTAATAAAAACCCAACTGTGTAAATAAAACTTCATTTTCATCATGTAAGTTATAAATAAGCCACAAATCAGTTCTCCCAGATGCAAAGAAATTTTCACTTTGGAAGTAATTAGTACAATTAGATTGTAGATATTTAACATTTAGTCAGAGGATAATAATTCTTGTCTTCATTTAAACGGCTAATTAGGGAAGGATATAATACAAATCTAATTAGAAATGACTTTTTTTTAGGCAGGCACATGATAATATTTACTAAGAATTTGCTTTCTTTTCAATTGTTCCTCAGAAGTGAAATATGCCAGGTAAAGATTTGTTATCTTTAGTTTTTTTTTAATGTGACAAATACCCTTGAAGACAATTCATTTCCTGAATCACTGTCTCTTGTATAATAAGCATTGTAATCTAAAATTAAGAAAATTTAAATTTTACATTATTCTAGTTCCAATCAACTCCTTTTATAAGATTTGTAATCTCACAGTGCATATTATAGTCATATTTCTAGATAGGGCAAACACATAAAAAAGTAACTACTTGGGAGACTGAGGCAGGGGGATCATTTGAACCGGGAGGCAGAGGTTGCAGTGAGCCAAGATCGTGCCACTGCACTCCAACCTGGGCGATACAGTGAGACTCTGTCTCAAAATAATAATAATAATTTTTTTTTTTTACATACCAGTATTTCCAAGGAATAGGACTAATTCTACTATTAAATTAGATTTATTTGTTTTGGGGTAAGGGAAAGTACAACTTAGCCCAAAATACATTTGAATGTAGGTAATACAAATCACAATACCCTAGGGCTTCTTGTATTTAAATAGTTCTACAATGTATACAACACATGCAGGATTTTTTCTATTTCTTACATGTGTGTAATGTGTAACAGGAAAGCATAAACTTAATAACTTAAAGAAACCTAGTTATCTATAAACTACTGCTGGAAACAAAATAGAAAAGAAAATGATGCAGAGGGAAAAAAATATGTCAGAGATTTCTGAGTTAGAAGGCTAGAGAGAACATTCCAGGGAATCTTTGGGAAATGACTTCTAAAATTGCCATCACCAGCTAGAGTACTCATGAACACGCTGACTACTGGGACCCTCAACCTTCTTTCTCAAGGTGGTTCTGCTATACATAACTGTGCCTCCTCTCTCTGTCAAACTTTCATTCTTGAGATTATACTCCTTTTCCCACATCATATATCATCTTAGATAGAATCTCATTAAAGATTGTTTTTCTCCCTTCTTGATCAAGACAAACCCTTCCAGAAATGGAGAGGAAAGGGCGGTGAAGATAAGGACCGGCCTTCATTTCAAAGTAGAGAGTTGTTTTGCATGATTGATTTTATAGCAAGGGTTGATGAGTTCTAAAATCTTTTCCCCAAAGCCTGTTTGCCTGACATTCTTCTACTCATTGAGTTCAAGGCCTTTGCCAGTATTTGTCAGAAAAGAAGTAGAACCTCTTTGTATTTAGTCAATGACATAAAATGATGAAATGTTAGTGTGGGATTTAGATGCATTTTTTTTTTCTGCAACGACAAAGAATATACGGTGCAATGATAACATTAGATTATCCATTAAACAAGACAAAAGTGTGAAGGAACACAAAACAAATCTTCAGAATCATGACAGATATTAATGACTTCCAATAGCATATAAGAGAAAATGAATGCAAACAAGAGAAGGGAGAATGCCTTTTGTTGATTTCTTTCATCCTTGTAGTCAGGATACTCTTTAGGGGTCTCTATGGAACAAAAGGCTTTCTTCTTCTAAGGAAACACTTCACAAATCTTAACATCTTCAGAAAAGCTTCCCTCAACTTGCTATTTCCCATAATTAGAATGAATGAATGGCTTGATGGGAAAATGACAGTTACTATGTCACCAATCATCAACACTAATTTTCCCTGAGGAATCAGAGCGCTAGAGGTCATAACAAGAAAGACTGGGTAGTACACGATGAGGAGGAGCAGAAAGATGATCACTGCCTTTATGGCCCTCATGTGGGCCTCTGTACTGGGGTCTCTGAACCCTGTAGCATGCAGTCGAATCTGCTTGGTGTGTCTAACTAGGGAGAAAAGTAACAAGAAAAATGAGATCAGGCAAAGGATAAAGGGAACCATCACCCCCAGGTTCAGGGTTAACTGTTTGAAAGTACCTGGAATTTTACTCACTTTGAATTTCCAAGTAATGTTTTCTTCATGACTGACTTTGAAAAGGTGATACCACATATCATCATTCTTTGGAACACTAATAATTAAAGAGATAAGAAAGGACCCCAGAAGAATCGCAAGCATGACCTTGTTGATCTTTAGCTTCAGCCAGAAGAAAAATGGGTGCGATATATTGGCTATCTTGAGTAAATAGAAGATACTGAGGCAAGAAGTAAACCAGAGACTTGAATTATTGGCAAATGTCCAGACAACATTCACAATGCTTACTAGCACGCTATTGCCATATGTACCTGGAAAGAGCAGCATAAAGAAGCCATCTAATGATATTACACACAGCAGACAGATTCTGGAGATGGCCAAGCTGATCAGGATGATGTCAATCAAGGAAATATCTCTTCTTTTGAGCCAGTCAATGCAGTTAACTAGTACAATGAATCCATTTCCCCAAATCCCTATGGTCAATTCACCAGCAATTAAAATAATATATATTGCCTCTATTGCACTTGGCATGCCAGCAAAGACTTGTGATTTTTGAATATCACTGATGATGAATTGACTTTCAGCTGACCAGTGAAGAACAATGTATCTGTCTGCCTCTTAGACCATGATATAGTTGTCTTTATCTCTCCTTTTTGTTAGCTGTGATGCAGATGAAGAAGATAGCCAGTCCTGCTCTGGGCTAGAGCTGCCTAAAGACTTCAATGATTGGGGCCAGTAATTTCCTTTGGTGCAGTGATGACTGAAAGCCTCTAGGATGCAAATGGGAATGGATCTGATTTCTTAAATTTGCACACTCTTTCTTATTTTAAGCTCTGTATATTTTGGATTTATCAATCTGAGCTGTTGACCAGGAACTTCAAGAAGGTATCAATTACTTGGAAAATATGGCTAGAATTTAATTTGCTGGATGACTATCCATCCTTGTTAGTATATTGACATAGTTATTGCTATTACAGATTCTAGGTTTACTGTGTTAGCTTGTGTGGCCAGTTTGCTTGCTTGGTTGACTAAAGCTTTAAACAAATTATTATTAACATTAAATGAGGCTTAAATGGCATAACTGGTGGAATGTAGAGGAAAGAATCTAAAGGTGTAGGAAGATAGGAGTATTAAGGTGAATTTATCATATGCGAACTTCACCTTCTCCCCATTATATGACTTAAGAGGGCCAAAAGGACACTCCATTCACTAGGGCATTGAGAAATACATTAATTAGGTAATTCCCAATATCCTCAAAAAGCTCTGCAGTGTTTGTCTTCTCAACTGAAGATACAATGAGGGAAATAAACATGACATTGTAGTGTTGTCAGCAAATGAGACACGGAAAATTCTGGTTTAGATGTTAGGGTTTCTTAGAGTGTTCTTGCTTTGTACCTGAATGTAGCTTCCATACATAGAAAAAATAGTCAAAATACTGGTCACTTATCTTTAGAATGGAAACAGATCAGCCTGAACAGTGAGGAGGACAAAGAGCAAGAAAGTGATATTTTTGGAACTAAAAAGCGTGATAGATATACAAGACTCTTCAGTCTGAACTGAGTGATAAGAATACATGCTCTGAATTTTCTTAGCTCTATTTTTTGGCAGCAGGTGTATTATAAATATTAGTATGCTAATTATACACACATTGGAAACACACTGTTTCATTGGGACATATTGAAACATGTCATTGGGCATAGTAGAACATATTTGAAATAATAGAAAAAGGCACACAGCAATACACAGTTCCCAGAAATATTATTTTGAAACTAATATTAAATTTTAAGGCAATATTAAATATTGCTTATCAAACAAACACAACAATACAAAGTATTTAATGAGATAATGTGTCATATGTTCAGGGTTTTAGACAAAATAAAGAGATAAAAATTAATCTTGCAGATTTTTATGAGAAAGTAAATAGCTATTGTTATTCTATTCAGTGAAATTTGGGGTTTCTTTCATGCTTCTCTGTGAATTTTGTTTCTGAAGAAATATCAGATTATACAACTCAAAAATACACACTGTGCTTGTCATGACCAAAGCCATAAAACAGGTAATATTCTGAGAAGGACTTCACTAGAGTAAAGAAATTGATTTGCATGCAACTGACAGACAAGGTCGCACCATGTTCACATCTCAGGGAATGCAATATTTCATTATTTTAATTAAACTTTTTGAAAGATAAAATTTTGTGGAGGGGAATAAAGTAGGTTCAAGGTTATTATTTGGAAATGGAACTACTCTGGGATCAATTTGTAATGTCCAGAAAAGATGAAGATGAAAATATATCATGTAGGAGGGTGATTAATAACTGACATATTAAAAATTCCTGGTAAATCCAGATATAGAATCCAAGCTTGCCTTCTGAATCATGGTCTTTCCCACTACCTCACTTCTTTTCCTTAGCCGTGTGGAATACTGATCAATTTAAGAAAGTTATGCCTATATTCAAATGTAAACGAAAATATGCTATAGGATATGACCAGAGTTACCTAAGGGCCTATACTTACTAAAATGCCACCCTCTTTTATCTTTCCTTGCTATAAATAAAACCCAAATGATCTCAATTTATTTGACACCGTTGAATATGTTTTTTTTGTGTGTATTGTGTGTGTGTGTGAGTTTATGTGTTATTTGCCCTTTGGATTTTATCTTAGCATTGAGAAGTTAAAGAGGGATCCTAGCTGACAGACTTTAACATCTATTTTCATTGCAGAAACACTTTAATCTAGAATGTTAGTTTATTGATTATTTCTGTCTCTACTAGAAAACAGATGAAATACTGGGAAACTTATGACATCATTTCCTGTATGTCTTTCTATGAGAAGTGAGCAAACACAAACCTACTTAGGCAGATATTTCTTAAATTTCATTTTCTTTCCTTTGTTTAAATACTTTTTACCATTCTTTAGAACCTTACATCTTTTACAGGCATTTGTCCTTGAGTTATGCCACTGATTATTACTGATCAAGAGAAATGACTATACTCTTCAGATTTATAAATCAAGAACAGGATACTGCGATACTGTCCTATTTTCTGACAACTTATATTTTGAATAGTTGCTGACTTTATCTCCTACCCCATTCTAAACTCTTCACTATATCCATTGGGATCCCTAGTAAACCATTAGCAGAAGCCATATATTCTCATTTGTTTCTCTAACAGTTCACTTTATTTTCTTCATTTGAACTCGAGGTTCTGGAACTTTTTTGTTCAATGGACTACTTTGCCAGTCTGGTGCATGCTATAATTTCAGAATAATGTTTTTAAGTGCATGAAATAAAAATATTTGAAATGTATAAGGAATCCATATATATATGCCTTTTTCTTGCAGTATGAAATATATTGTTAATATAATATAGGAATTTATGTGCTTTTTAATTGACATAACAAAAATATCTGGCAGATAAAGACTAGTGGTGAAAGTAAATGACAATAGGAGGTACCTGTAACGACAAAAATTTTTGGCTTCCTGAAGTGAAAAAATTACAGATACTGCTGGTATGGTATGTGCTTGTTACTTACATTCAAGACAGAAGAAATACTAGACTTAAGCTAAGGATTAATAAAAATAAGTATATAATTTGGTGCCCCTCCCAGTTCATTCATCACTCATGTCCATGAATCTTTTCATTTTAATACTCTACAATTAAATCCTGTGGCAGCTGTTTTCTCTCTCACACCCTCATAGAAGTGGGTCTAAAGCTGGGATGGGTGTTTTTCTTTCCCTCTCGTAACTTTCAGATTACTCTACTCTCTTTCCTTTTTCCTTTTTTTTTTTTTTTTTTTTGAGACAAAGTTTCACTGTGTTGCTTAGGCTGTTCTTGAACTCCTGGCCTCTAGTGATCCTCCTGCCTTGGCCTCCCAAAATGTTAAGATTACAAGTGTGAGTCACTGTGCCTGGCCAGATTATTCTCCGTCTAATTCCTCACAAGACATACAGCAGTTCATTATCTCCTGTCATCACTCTATACAAAATATTACCTTTCCTTGTCACAATCATAAGCCAGTCTTCCTTCCTTGATTTTTGCTTTCTACCTGAAATTAAGTAGTTAAATATACTAAATTTCACCACCATTCTTTTTGCTAAAGTTCCCCTATCTTTTTGTTGGATGAAATAATCTTCTATTTTTTAAAAAAATTCATTCAGTAATCTTGTTTGTTGTATTTTTCTTTTTTTAAAATTTAATTATGGACATATAATAGTTGTACAGATGTATGGGGGTACATGTGAACCTCATGAAAACAGAGCAATATAAAGACCCCTGTTGAGAAGGGATAACATGAATGAGAAATATGCATGTCTCTTTAAGAAGAGGAACAGTCTTAATTAATGGATAACTATATAGAGTCAATAATTCAAGCATAAAACACTTTATTATAATAGCATATTGGGAATAGTCTTGTCTATTTGTATAAAAATGGTGAAGAAATAGAATATTTGGGATCCATGGAGACAAATAATTTATTTGCTAAATAACAAAATTTGGACAAGGCTTGAAATATATATAACAGTTAAGAGCTTCAGCTCTGGTGCCAGACAGCTGGAGTTGAAGCTTATTCTCAGTTTTAATGATTGTGTGATTTAAATTGTGCTGAATCTTTTCTTTCTCCAATGTGTAAAACATTGATCATAGTGCTATCTATCTCATAGAAATATTATACTTAAATAAAGTCTTGCATTTAAAATACTTAGAATAGTTCTTACCATATATACTCAAAAAATTTTAGGTACTATTATTATTGAATTTTTTGGCATTCCATTCAATAAATCACGATTCTCTTATCTAGTTGTTTTGCTATAGAGCCTTTATTAATGTGTCTTAATTACAATTTCCTATCCATAATATTTGGCCAAATTTCACATTTTATGATTGCCATAGTTTGAATGTTTGTATTTTCTTCAAAATTCATGTGGAAATGTAATCCCTAATGCAACAATATTAAGAGGTGGGGCCTTTTAGGAGATGATTATGATGGGTTTGCCATTATGATGGGATTAAAAGGCCTGAAGGGAACTAAATAGGTCTTTTAACCTTTCCCCTCTTCTGCCATGAAAAGATACAGCATTCAAGGTTCCATGTTGGAAGCAGTGACGAAGCCCTCACCAGACACCAAACCTGCCACTGCCTTAGTCTTGGACTTTCTAGCCTTCAGCACTATGAAAAAATAAATTTCTGTTATTTATAAACTACCTCATCTCAGATACTTTTTATAGCAGCAAAATGGACTAAGACAATGCCAGTCACATGAAATCATAAAATATGGCAACATAATAGTTATGGTTTAACAATTTGTTTTGTTTTCCATTACTCACTGAAAATGTAAACAAACTTAAATGGACTTAGTTGTTTTTTTCCTTCATATGTAGTTCTTTTCTTTATTCAATATTAATGCCCAGTGCATCTCATAATATTAATGGACAGGTGACTATTTTGTTTCTCTCTGCAATGGCATAAATAAAATGATTTTAACAGCATTTCAACTTAAACACAATAAATTATTTATTTATATTTGACAACACATCTAAATGTTCAGGTTAAGTAAAAATATTCTCAGATATATAGGTTTCAGACGTTTACTAAACATAGAACTTTTTTCAACATTTTGGAGGCTACATTAACAAAAACTATAATGGGGTGAGGAGATACCTATATGAATATGTGGAGTAAAGTTTATAAGAAATTTTGTAAGGCTTAGGATGTCAAAAAATTTTTTAAAAATAAGAAAAGAACATTTGTATACTATAAAAATCTTAAAACTCCAGTTGTAGGTAGAAGATCAACACATAAAACTGTGTTGTGTTTCTACACACCAGCAATCTGAACAGTGAATATAAAAGGTAAATTAAGAAAACAATTCCAAAATAATGAAATAACTAGGAATAAATTTCACCAAAGAAGCAAAATACTTATATACAAAAATTGATGAAACATTGCTGAAAGACATTAAGGAAGACACAAGTAAGTAGAAAGACATCCCATGTTCATGGATAAGATGACTTGATACTGTTAAGATATCAATACTACCCAAAGCAATCTAAAGATTCATTAAAATTCCTATCAAAAATTTCTACAGACTTCGTTTCAGAAAGAGGAAAACTAATGCTCAAATTCAGGTGAAATTACAAGGGAATCCGAATACCCAAAACAATCTTTAAAAAGGAGAACAAAGTTGGAAAACTCACATTTAATATTTTTATTTTATATATATATATATACATATATATATATACATATATATATATATACACATATATATATATATATATATATATATATATTTTTTTTTTTTTTTCCCTGTATGCCTCATTAAGTCTTCCCTGAGCCCTGGGCTGGCTTCTTCCATGGAAGATAGCAGAAGAAGCAAGGCTTGTCCCTGTTCACAGAAGATGCTAGCCAGATCAGGAGCTGAAGATAGCAAAAGAGGGAGAAGTCCAACCCACAGTCCCAGGCCCTGGTGAGTAAGGTCTGGTGCGAGGAGAAGGCTGATGATATGGAAGGGTGCTCCAGTCCTGCTTCTTCTGCTTGGAAATGGAGAATCCGGAGAACCTGGGGGATGCAAGATGGACAGGCTGCTCCTTGAGAACATCCAGTCTCCTAGAAAAAATGGGTGCTCTCAAGGTGACTGAATGAACTCAACTATGCCTTGTTATTTTAAAACCCACTGTCTGCTTTCTGAATTGACAATCAAGAATCCATGTGTGTCTTAAACAACAATTGTTCATTGTAGTAGAACCCACTGGGAGAAGCCTTTTGGCTCAGGAACTCCATCTAGCCACAGCTGATTGAATTAGGGGTGGATACCTAACCCAAGTGGAGCCAATCTTATTCTGTGCCCACTGCAATGTAAGATGTAAAATAGGTATTTTTGTCTCCTTGGATCAGTGCTGTATCTTTAGTGTCTAGAATTCTGCCTACCACACAGTAGGGGCTACATGAATATTTAATGAACAAATGAATGAATAAATAAGTCTCTGTGAGGAATTTGGAATTTTGACCTTGGAAACACAGAGAATGGCAGTTGTGGAAACTGAGTCACATTGGCTGCATAAGCTAGAAAGAACACCCACTCCTTCCCATGTCTGAGGTCTTCGGGTCTATCTCAGTCATGACTGAGTCCTGACTCTTTCTAAAGATGATTGGACTCCTCTTAACTTTAGGACAGATGGCTCAACATCCTAACTATAAAACTCCTTCCTCCTTTCCTGCTTACATTCATTTCTGTTGCAACCAAAAACCTTTAATGACATGCTGAGAAATTTTGCACCTTGACATATTCTGTTCCCCACCTTAGGAGCTTCTCTAGGAGTCATAATCACTCCTGGCTGTACCTTGGGCTGCATCCAGATCTGCCCCAATGCCACCACCCCCAGCTCTGTGGGCTCTGGCTCTAAGACTACAGGGACCCAGAAGCAGGAAAGAGTGGCATCATGGAATTCCATGTCCTTTAGGGCAGGTGGGAGGTACTATGCCTCTTCTCCATCCAAGACCGCTCACTACATCCTGTCCTCAGATATGGCTCTTGGGACCCTCAAGTCAGATACTCCTAATTTTTCATCTGCTTTTGCTCTACAGACAGAAAGAGGAGGTGCCAAAGAAATCTACAGATTCATTCAAATCCTTATTAAAAATTCTCACAGACTTTTTTTTTCAGAAACAGAAAAATTGATCCTCAAATCCATAAGAAATTACAAGAAACCTTGAATTTCCAAAACAATCTTAAAAATGGAGAACAAAGTTGGAAGGCTCACACTTAATATTTTAAAAATTCACTACATTACTTCTCAGCCTTTTGGCTAAGATCAAGTATAAAACTTACTACAAAGCTATGGTAATCAAGACTGTGTTTTATTGGCATAAGGATAGACATATAGATCAATGTAATGGAATTGAGAGTCTTGAAGTAAGCCCATATATCTATGACTAATTGATTTTGACAAGTGTGTAAAAATTCATTAGGGCATAAAGAGTCTTTTTGACAAATGATGCTAGGACAATTAGATATCCACATGCAAGAGAATGAAGTTGGACCCCTAACTCACGTCATATACAAAACTTAGCTCAATATGGATCAATGACCTAAATATAACAACTAAAACTAAATACACCTAGAAGAAAATTTAGTGGTAATCTTTATGACCTTGGATTTGGCAATGGATTCTTACATATGACATGAAAAAAGTAAGCCACAAAAGAAAAAATACTTAAATTGGACTTCACGCAAAATAAAACTTTTGTGTATCACAAGCCACTCCAAGAAAGTGAAAAGACGATGTATAGACTGGGAGAAAATATTTGCAGATCATATATCTGCGAAGGGCTTAAAATTCAGAATATGTAAAGAACCTCTACAACCCAACAAAAAATCCAATTTTAAATTGGGCAAAAGATCTCAACGGACATTTCTCCATTGATTTACAAATGTCTAGTAAACACATAAAAAGACGCTAAGCATCATTAGTCATTGGGGAAATGCAAACCAAAACCACAGTCACGTATTACTTCACATCCACTAGAATGGCTATAGTAAAAATCCTGGAAAATAACAAGGGTGGGCAAGGATGTGGAAAATTTGGAACTCTCGTACATTCTTGGTGGGAATGTACAACGATAAATCTACTGTGGAAAACAGTTTGGTGACTCCACAAGAAGCTAAGCATAGGAATTGCTGTATTATCCAGTAATTTCACTCCTAGTATACATTGAAAACAGGAACTCAAACAGATACTTATGTGCCAGTGTATATTGCAGCATAATTCACAATAGCCCAAAGGTAGAAATCACCCAAGTGTTTTTCAACTGATGAATATCTAAACAAATTGTGGTGTATACATACAATAAAATATTATTCAGTCATACAAAAGAATGATGGTCTGATACATGTTAAAATATTGGTGAGCCTTAAAAACATGCTTAGTAAACTAAACCAGACATAAAATGAGAAAATCTGTGTGATTCTACTCATATGAATTGCCTAGACTAGGCCAATTCATAAAGCCAAAGAGGAGATCAGAGGTCACCAGGAACTGTGGGAAAGGAAAAATAGGGAGTTACTGCCTAATGAGTCCAGAGTTTCTATCTGTGGTAATGTAAAAGTTTTGGACACAGAGGTGATGCTTGCACAACATTGTGAATGTAGTTAGTGCCACAGAATTGTACACTTAAAATGGTTAAAATGACAAATTTGTTATATAAATGTTATCACAATAAAATTAAAACAAAATAAATGTGTAAATTAAAAAATTAATATTCCAGACCATAAAAACATGCAGCATGGAAATGACTGTCATTAGATAAGAACAGGTTAAACTTTTAATTTTATATGAAATGAACATAAAGATACCAATTTTAAACCCAGCACATGAAAATTTGATATCAATAGAAACAGGAAAGGAAAAAGATCTGCAATAAAGCATTAAAATAGAGTAAAAAGAAGAAATGAGAAGATAGAAAACAATGCAATCACAATTGTATTGAGTGTAAAAATGTTTCTCAATAGTAATTTTGAGATTACATTATTAAATAAAGTGTCAAAAATGAAATATTTGTTTTCTACAAGAGACATTTAAAAATAAAATGCAGAAGTGTTGAAAATGCAGAGGTGGAAAACACACAATTTAGAAATGATAAATGCTTGAAGTGATGGATCCTAAATATCTTGACTTTTATTACACATTATATACATGAAACAAAATATCACATATACCTTACAAAGTTGAACAAATATTATGTATCAAAATAAAATAAAATAAAATGTAACAAAATTAGGGAATTTACCAAGGGTGAAATAAAATTTAAAGCAAAAATTTTCATGGCAAACTTTTTTAATATCAGTAAAAATAACCATAAAAAAGTAATGACCATGAATAAAAATGCAATTATCAACATTGCTTCAAATTAAATGCAACTACAAATAAAATAATTATGAGCATAAAGAAATAAATCAGTAATTGTAAGTGTAGGTTTACTAATTTAACTATTGGAAATTGTCATATATTAAAGACGTAAACAAGTAATATCATTAATATTGTTCATCTAATGCATATACATTTAACTTTAACACATCAAACTCATTTAAAGAAAATCATTCACAAAAATGGATCATGTATTGGGCCAAATGAATCTTATCCTAGGCCAAATATCATACACATATGCTGTCTGACTCAAATAAAATAAGATATCAATACAAAAGTTACCTTTAAAAATCTCATTATTGTTAAATATCTCTTGCATTAAAAGGAAAGTGTAAAGAATATTTTGAAATTATTTGAATTGAATACAATATAAGAACCATGTGCCAACATTTGTGGAATACATATAAGTTGATATTTGGGCAGAAAACATACAATTTTGAATACCTTTACTAAAAAAAAAAAGAAAGATTGGACAAAGCTAGTGAAACAAACAACTTTTGCCTTCAAAAGTATGGCAAACCATTATCCTAAGCAAATTAACACAGAAACCGAAAACCAACTATCACGTGCTCTTGCTTATAAGCGGGAGCTAAACATTGGTTCACACAGACGTAAAAATGGGAACAATAGACACTGGCGACTAAGTGGAGAGGGAGGGATGGCAGGGGTCAGGGGGCAAGGACTGTCAAACTACCTATTGAGTACCATGCTCACTACCTGGGTGATGGGTTCAATTATACCCCAAACCTCAGCATCAAGGAATATAACCTACTAACAAACCTGCACCTGTACCCCTTAATCTAAAATAGAAGTTAAAATTATTTTTATAAATTAAAAAAATCTGTATAAAAATATATGAAAAACCAGATGTCTGGAAAAATCCTTCCAGTCAGGAAAACATAAAGATACTGAAAAAGAAGCCTTCAGAAATATTTTTAAAGTGTATGGTCCAGCTGTCAAGAGAGTTAAAAAAGAATCCTCAGATGCCAAAAATAGTAGGAAAGTGCAAATCATGAGAGGAAACAGTGCTGAAGATAGAGTTAGTCCCTAACTAACTATCTTGGAGTTGGATAGAGGAGTTTATCGAGGAGACGGCATTGTCACTCTCCTTTAAACCAGTGTGTAAGTATTTTTTAATTTTGTTATGTTTTTAAATTGATGTTCCGCAGTGAAAAGGTATATGCAAAACTATCCCTAAAGGCTGAGGGAGCTGAGAGGCCAAAGAAAGAGTCTAACAATTCCAGTTTCTCAAAAAGAAATATTTATTGATTTATTTATAATTTTTACTTCAACAACTTTTTGGGTACAAGTGTTTTTTTGTCACGTGGATGAGTTATATAGTGGTGAATTCTGAGATTTTAGTGCACCCATCACCTGAGTAGTGTAAATTGTACCTAATATGTAGCTTTTTTATCCCTATCCTCCCTTCCAGCCTCCCCCTTTTGAGTCTCTAAAGACCATGATATCACTCTGTATGTCTTTGTACACTCATAGCTTAGCTCCCGCTTATAACTGAAACATACAGTTTTGGTTTTCCAGCCATGTGTGTTACTTCACTTAGAATAATGGCCTCCAGGTCTATCCAAGTTGCTGCAAAAGATATATATATCTTATACATATATATATCTATCTTATACATATATATATCTTATACATATATATATCTTATACATATATATCTTATACATATATATACACACACAATCTTTTTTAAAAGAAAGCAATATTTAATAGGAACTTATAAACAGAGGCAATGTCTTGGGTGGCCGCAAGATATTGGATCCCCACAGCCGCCCTCCAGAAAATATCCTTTATATATTAAGCTTTTTGGGTAAAACATGTGCAGCTCTTCATACCTCAGGCTCTCTTGCTAAAACTTATGACCATTAAGAAGGTTAGATAAGCATCTTTATGAGGGGCTCTCTATGTCACAGGAATTATTTAAAGAACTTGCTGCAGAACACATTGGCATGCAGGAGTTAAACATCAGTCGTTGTGGTAGTTTCGCTTCAGGATGGCATCACTCTTTCTACGCAATAGGCTATTTTCCTACGTTATATAATAATTACTGTACACATTTATCAGGTACATAGTGATGTTTTGAAACATACAATGTATAGTGATTCAATAGGTTAATAAGAAGATCTATCATCTTAAACGTTTATCATTTCTTTGTTGGGAATATTAAAATCCTCCTTCCTGGTATTTAAAACTATGTATTATTGTTAGCTATAGTCATCCTATAGTCCTATAAAACACTAGAACGTATTCCTCCTATCTAGCTGTATTTTGTATACTTTTACAAACCCCTATCCTTCCCAGCCTCTGGTATACTCTGCTCTTCTTTTTACTTCTATGAGATCTTCTTTTTTTAGTTTCCTTATATGAGCGAGAATATGTGGCGCTTAACTTTTTGTTTCTGGCTTATTTCAGGTACCATAATGTCTTCCTTTCCATCCATGTTGTAGCAAATGACATTTCATTTTTTAAAAAAAACTGTTATGGCTAAACAGTATTCCATTGTGTACATATACAGCATTTTCTTCATCCATTCATAAACCAGTGCTTATGTTTTAAAAGACCATATGCATGTTGGATAAGATACCTGGTTTGGACTTCTCCAAAGTTAGAAGTGAGATTGGATACTATCAACAAGCCAAGATCCCTGAAAGGCAAACCCTTAATAGGCAAATGAGAAAATAATATACGTCCAACAAAAGGCTAAAGTAGGAATACTTAACACTCAGCCAGGGCAGTGAATTGAAAGGGGAATGTAAAGGGGAATGAAAGAGGAATGTTGCTCTAAGAATTTGTTATAATAGCCTTTCACTCATGTATATTTGGGGCTAGAAGTTGAATTCTACATAGCCTAAATCATTACAAACTGAAAAGTTTAGCTTAAAGAAGTTGATACTGGAAGTGATCCCAGTCAGCCTTTACAAAGTCAAACTTTTTCTGGCAGACGTCACTGTAAACCTGATCTCAAAGAATTCCCACAGATAATATTCTAATAAAACTGAGTTCAAAATAAAATCATAAAACATGTGAGGACCAAACCAATATAATTGAAAGTTAGTACAAACAACAAAGTTAGTAATCAGAGCTACAAAGGCAGCAGATATCAGAATTAGAGCTTCTGCAGTCTGTGCAAATGCTAAGGAAGGTTCTTTCTCTTTCCCTTGTTTCTCAAAGCAAGTATGACTAAACAGATATTTTTTCACAGGCCTCATCTTTTATTTAATTATATTTTTCATATGACATAAATTATTGCATAGAAAATTACATAATACTACAAGAAAATAAAAATTATCTATAATCCCAATATCTACAGGTAAAGAACCTAGACATCCAGTTTATGTATAAATCTAATCAAAACAGATTTTTTAAGTAACATGCTTATTATCTGTCATCTATCTATGTTGAGATCTATTTTACAACGTATGTAGAAACATGTTAACAATGGTTAGTTGAGTACTGCAAATGTGCATAATCAATTTCTTCTTTATATATTTTTGTGTTTGCTAATTTTAGATGAAACTGTATTTTATAGTACAAAATGGAGCTTTTGATGAAAGGAACAGGTATCAGTAAAAATAAGCTAATATTGGCAAAAATAGCAGAAGAAAACATAAATCAATATGAGATCATGTAAATTACCCACCTATTGCCCCAAACATTACAAACTAGTTACTTACTAAACAGCAAATTAAGAAAAAATCATAACACATATATGGCATAGTGTTAATGTATAAACTAGTCACAAAATTGGTAAGAAAAACTATAAGACATGAAAAAATAAGGAGAAAACAAATGAACAATTCCCAAAAAGTATATGCTATTGGTTAATCCCGTAGTAATGCTTAACTTCACTAGTAATCAAATATATGTGAAGTAAAGATATTTTTGCAATCAAAGTAGTGACATTAAAAATAATAACCTGTTTGATTTTGAGACTGCAACAGGACGGATATTTTTTCACTATTAACATATAGGTTTATTATATCTACAGAGCAATTTATCAATTCTGCAAGGAATTTATCAAGTTTCTCCCCATTGGAATTTTCCTTAAAAATAATTTACATACTGCTGTCTCTATATATTAGTCACACTGGACCTTTAGTTTCTGGACTACCCTCTACTCCTTCTTGCTTCAAGGCCTTGACATGATGGTTTCCCA
The DNA here is from genome assembly GCF_000001405.40 of Homo sapiens. Taxonomy (NCBI): domain Eukaryota; kingdom Metazoa; phylum Chordata; class Mammalia; order Primates; family Hominidae; genus Homo; species Homo sapiens. Next base: position 22,348 of record NT_187658.1, read on the forward strand.
CCCCAAATTTCTCCTCTTTTGTCCACCATACTCCTACACATTATTAAGATATCAAATTAAACCATCTTAACCACAGTGACATCTTGTCCATTCTCATGACCAGGTCAGGTCAGCATCCTATAGTTTTTCTCTCCCAATATCATAAATATCATTGTTTAAGTTAGCTAGCTATTCATTTGTTTTCTATTAGAATATATTATCCATTATATTGGTATGTTGTTCACTACTATATCCTCAATACCTAGCCAAGTTAGCATTCAAATAGTATTCATATGAATGAATAGTATTCACTCTCTATAATACTCATATTATGTTTATTTCTAAAAGTGGAAAACTGAAGACAACTTAAACGTAAACGATATGATAAACACTAAGTATATTATTGTATATTTGCAAGGGGAGTTATTATGTACCCCTTAAAAAGATTATTACAAATAATTTTTGAAAACATGGGAAAATGAATAAATTCTACATAATCAACATAATCTATACAGAGAACATAGTTCTTTATACAATATAATTTCAAATGAGCCAACCTGGTATATTTGGTTGAAATAGGCAGCAGCATTAGGTTTTTTTTTCTGTTATCTCTTAACTATCTGTACATTCTAAACACAATAGTTTAAAAATATAAAAATATTGATTTGGAAACCTGACATAGAAAATTAATTAAGTCCTTATATTTGGAAATATTCCACTCATTAGGCCATAAGTATGAGATCAAGGCACTTTCGGAAGTTGCCAAAATAAGTCACTGAGTTTATAACCTGGGTTGGACATAAAAGTTAACTTTAAAACTCAAAATTTGAAACGTTTCTGTGAGTGCAAGTTTGTGTATATGAATGTGTGTGTGTGCATGTTTATGTGTGTGTGTGTATGAAGCCTGAAGACAGAACATTTCATATTTCACCCAGATTCTATCCTGTGTTCATCTTGTGTCCTTTGGTCAGGGACTGTGTTGAATCTTGCAGCCTTTGGATCGATGCTTCTAGAAAAATCTTTACTCAACTTTAATTGGTTCATAACCTGCCTTATCTCAAATCACTGATTTTGAAGAGCATATTTATTTCATCAGTGTTTTGATCCCATATCCCTCAACTAGACCCTTGTTTCCCTAACTATATTTCACAGAACTACATCTACTCCTCTGACTACTTGCTACACATCGTACACCAGTAAAAAAGGATGTTAGATTCTAAAAAATGAAAAAAAAACCTTTAAATAATTAAAATAGCATTCTGTAAAGAAGTACCACCATCTATCCTCACTTCCATGTTCTAAATGTCAAGATTGATCTAATTTTCTTTCTTTCTTTTTTTTCCTTTGGGTTTTCTGGGAGAATGGGTGTCCTTGCTTCAGAAAAGTCAGGTAAAGCACAACAAGAAGTTTTATTTTAGAGCTTATTCTCACCGTTATAATCTTTACAGCGAATAGTCTCCAGGCTGATGGTCTTCCTCTAGGAAGTTTGTAGGAAGAAGTTGCAGGGTGGGGAAGCTGACTAAGCCACTGAATTTGCATGTGAGATTAAAATCTCCTCAAAGACTGAGATTCCCTGAAACATAGTCAAAACAATTATGGAAGATTTCAGTGATCTTTAATGACACAGTTAAAAAGACAATGCAAGAATGCAGTGCAATGAAACAGATCTTCAAGGATTTATTCACTGGATTCCTTTCGTGGAACATCCATCTCTTCCCAAGGTGTCTATGTGACTCTGAGATTTTTCCTTTTCTCACAGCACTTCAATTGCTGCAGTACCCTCAAAGAGGCTTGCTTTAGCTTGCTGTTTCCTAGAATTAAGATAAATGAGTGACCCCAGGGATAGATGGCTGTGGTTGTCATTCCAAACATAAGCAGCAGTTTGTTTTCTCGCACAGTAAAACATGATATTTCTATGGCCATGCCTATAAAATACAAGATAAAGAGGATGATGAAAGATATCAAAACTTTCATTGCCTTCACATGAGCTTCTGTGTTGGAGTCTCTCAATCCTGTCACATTCGATTGCATCTGCCTGTTGTGTCTCCAAAGGGAAATGATTAAAAAAATACATGTAATTAGGGATAGTGTAAAGAAGAAAATGACTCCCAGATTTAGCAAAATCTGTTTAATAAAGTATTCACTTTTATACATGTTGAGATCCCAGACTGTGTCATTCTTCGTTTTATAATCATTAAGAATCTTCGCAATGTATGCAAAATTAAGTAACGATGAAATAAGTAAGAATACTATCATGAAGGGAAGAACCATATTTGTTCTGCTCTTCAACCAGAGAAATATGTAGTTGGAAAAATTTGCTATCTTCAGGAAATAGAAGATGCTGAGGCTGGTGGCAAACCACATACTTGATTGATTACCAATTACCCAAAAGTAACTAATATATTCAATTAGGTTACCGGAGGCATATATATTTGGAGAGAATATCTGTATAAATCCATCTGTAATTATTATCCATATCAGAAAAATTCTTGAAATAGCTAAGCCGGTGAGAATAAAGCCAATCGTAGATAACTTATTCTTGGCACAGTCAATGCAGTTTACAAGTCCAATAAATCCATTCCCCAAAACCCCAAACACTGACTCACTAACTACAACAAAAATGAAGATGCCTTCCACTACACGTAGCATATCTGCTAATTCTTAATATTGCTTCTGTTACATCTATCTTAGATTACCTGCTGCAGAATGAGGCATATATTGGCTGCTCGACGGAAGTGTGACTTTCTTCTCTTTCATTATATAAAGACTTGAAATTGCCCCAGTAATGGCTTGAGATGGAATCAGAAATTTCTTAATGAAGACCTTTCCAAATATGTCTACAAAACATAGCTAGTCTGGAGAATGTATGTTCAGACTGAATGCCTATCTATAATTTGTTAAAATGCAAATGAAAGTTTCTGTTTCATGGATTTTACATGTCCTCCTGAGACTATTTTGCATTTAATAAATTGAATTGTGGAGGAGGAGTGCCAAACATATACCTATAGAATGTAATGCAAAACAGAAACAAAAATTTTGACTTTATCTTTTAAAATATCAAATCATTATTTATGTCATTTATAATCAATTTATATATGTACAGAAAATACTATATAGAAATGAAAAACAAATTTAGCCACTGTAGATACTTACTCTAAATGATCGATTTAATTTTTAATTAAAATTTAAGCTCAACTCTAGGTATGACAAGTTTCACAAATATGTCACAAATCTGTTGCTGTTGTTTTATACTTATGGTTATTACACCCTTGAATGCAGAAGATTATGTTGACTACCCTTGACATGAAAGGCTCTTAGGAATAATCTCTTCATTTAACACATTACTGTTTGCTGGCACCCATTCATTTATCCAACAAGTATTTACTGAATGTCTAGATACAACAAGCTCTCTTTTGATCTTTGAGGGAATATAGTGGTAGACAGAATTTCAAAACTTGTGTGATTTATGGAGTGTATATTCTAATGAGGGAGGTGGGAAACAATTAAGTAAATCAACATACTGATCTAAGAATTAAAAGTGAAATTAAAAGTGAAATCTAACATTTATTGAGCTTTTATTATATTCCTAGCGCTATGTTAAGTATCTTTTTCTCATCTTAATTTCACAAGCCTTCAATCCTTTAAAAGAGGGGCTATTTTTGTATTTACATTAAATATGAATAAACTAAGCTTTGGAGAAAAGAAGACCTTCTCTCACTTATCCTGGCATGACTACCATAAATAAAATTGCACAATGATTTCAAAATGAAGTTAAATTAAGCTTAGGAATAGACTACAAATGATAGCAAAACAAAACAAACCAACCAAAAGCAAGTAGAAAACTTAAATTCTCATGGGCTGCACATACTGAAATTGACAGATAAGAATATGTATAGATAAATTAGCTAATGTATACACTGTTTACAAAAAACAAGATGCAATTTCAGAGAAGAGCAGCAAGAGACTGTTAGAAAGAAATTGGAACATTTGGGGAAAAAACTTCTAGAAATGGAGAATATAATTATATAAAATGTAAATGAACTAAATACTCCAAGTAAAAAATTAATAGTAACAAAGAAGAATTTAAAACTCTGACTGTATACTGCTTACAAGAAACACAATTTAAATATAGAAAAGGAAAACTTTAAAGTAAAATTATGGAAAAATAAGCCATGCAAACATCATCCAAAAGAAATCTGGCATAATTATAACAATATTCTATAAAGCAGACTTTAAGGTAAGAAGCAGCATTAGAGAAGAAATGGGGAGTGTACTTTATAGTGATAAAAATGCTCAAATCTACAGAAAGGTAGGGTAATCCCAAAAATTTATGAACCAAATAATCTACCAAACATTTACAGAAAAGGAAAAATAAGACAAATCTACAATCACAATGAAAGACTGTAAAATACATAACTCAATAACTCATCTTAGAAACACCAAAAATCAATAGATGGAAAATACATGAAAAAACAATTGACAAACTTGTGTTCAACGGTAAAATAATTCATATTCTTTTCAAGTGCACATAGACTATTTTTACCAAGACTGATCATGAATCCAAAAGAATATCTCACAAGTGTTGAATGTTCTCTGAATTCAAAGGAATAAAATGAAGTTCAATAATAAAAAGATAACTAGAGAAAGAAACAATTTACTAAGACAAAAAACCTGTAAATACTCTTGAGTCAAAGAAGAAATAACAAAAATTACAAAAATATTTTTAAGTAAATAATACAGGTTGTGTATCCCTTATCTGAAATGTGTGAGACCAGAGAGCTTTGGATTTCGGATTTTTTTTTCTTTTTTTTTAAGTTTTGGAACATTTGCATCATACTGATTAAGCATCTCGAATTCAAAAATTTGAAATCCAAAATGTTCCAATGAGCATATCCTTTGAGCGTCATGTCAGCGCTCAAAGAGTTTCAGATTTTGGAGCATTTCAAATTTCAGATTTTTGGATTAGGGATACTCAACGTGTAATAAAGAAATGACCTATTAAAATTTACATAATCCAATTAAAGCCATTCTTTGAAGGAAATTTGTAGCCTTGAATGCATCTTTTAGAAAGGCAGGGTAAAAACAGATGAATTTTGTTTTCATCTCAAGAAGCTAGAAAGCTAAGAGTGAAAGAAAATAGAAGTCAAGAAATTATAGTAACAGCAGAAATCACCGATAGAAAAGAATTAGGTACAGTAATATACTAATGTTGGTCAAAAGAAAATACAAATTACTACAGTCCTTAGAGATATCAGAAATATGGCCTGGGTGTGGTAGCTAATGCCTGTCATTTCAGCACTTTGGGAGGCCCAGGTGTGAGAATCACTTGAGTCCAGGAGTTTGAGACCAGCCTGGGAAACATAGCAAGACCTTATCTCTACTAAAAAAAATAAATAAATAAAAATAATTTAGCAGGGCATGGTGGTGTGCACCTGTAGTCCCAGCTACTTGGGAGGCCGAGCAGGAGGATTGCCTGAGCCCAGGAGTTTGAACTTGCAGTGAGCTATAATTGGGCCACTGCACTCCAGCCTGGGTGACAGAGTGAGACCTCATCTCTCTCTCTCTCTTTCTCTGTCTCTCTCTCTCTCTCTCTATACATACATATATATACATATATATATATACATATACATATATATATATATATAATACTATATAATATAGTTACATATCCTTGTATATAATCTTTTATTATAAGACAATACTGTGAACAACTTTATACAAAATTTCATCAAGAATACTTATAAGACTATTACAGGCTAATATAGCCTGAACATAGATGCAAAAATTCCAAACAAAATAGAGTCCAGCGATATATAAAAGAATAATTCATTATAACAAATGGAGTTTTAAAAGCCAATTGTGAGATTAAAATGAAATAATTGAAGATACAGTCAATTAACACAAAAGAAAGCCAGAAAAAGGACAGAGGGACAAAAATAAGTGAGATAAATGAAAAACATTGAGCAAAATGCAAGACTTACAGCCAACCATACTGATAATTACATTAAACATGATTTGACTAAACACTCTGATGAAAAGATAGAGATCATCAGAATGAATAAATGAAAGCACAATTAAATGTTATGCCTAGAAGATAAAACATTAAACATAAAGGCACAGATAGATTGAATGTAAAGGAAAGAAAAAGCTATACTATGGAATTTGTAACCATAGAAAGCAGGACTGGTTCTATTCTCAAAGTGGCTATATTATCAAGACAAGTAGTAGAAAAATAGAGGGAAGTTGTATAATGATAAAATATTCAATTTATCAAAAATACTTAACAATCCTGAAGGTGTATCAGACTAATAATTGTGACTCAAAATAAATAAAGCAAAATTAACAGAACTAAAGCAAGTGATAGGCATAGCAAAGATTTAAAAACCCCTTTGCTGTGATCTGCATGTGTCTCCTCCAAAGTCTATATGTTGAAACTTAATTGCCAGTGTGCCAGTATTAAGAGATGGTTCCTTTAGGAGGTAATGAGGGCAGACCTCTCATGAATGAGATTAATGACCATTTTGATGTGCATTCTAGGTATGTTAACTCTACATGCCTTAGATTGTGCAATAGTAACTGGGCTCTTATGAAAGGGTTTTAACAACTTCCACAAGTTCTAGACTAATTTCTGCAGTTACATCAGCAGCAAAAATATTCACAAAAACAATGGTGCCACTGCATTTCAGCCTGGGCGACAGAGTGAGACTCCATCTCAAAACAAACAAACAACAAACAAAAAACATAAAGTAACTGGCTAAATCCATATTATTACAGAGACAAGATTGTTACCTAGAGGAAATAAGTGGTTTTCATTCTATTTTGCTTACTTCTGTTAAATTTCTAACATCCACCTTCTGTAGATCTGAATGAGTGGATTACAACTTATTCACACCTCTTTTTTATATATAGGTGATTATTTTCTCTTTAAAATATTTTAAAAACTATTTTAGAGGTCAGTCCTGGCCCAGGAAGAATTTATTTATTTTATTTTATTTATTTATTTATTTATTTATTTATTTATTTATTTATTTATTTATTTATTTTTGAGACAGAGTCTCTCTCTGTCGCCCAGGCTGGAATGCAGTGGCGCGATCTCGGCTCACTGCAAGCTACACCTCCTGAGTTCACGCCATTCTCCTGCCTCAGCCTCCCCAGTAGCTGGAACTATGGGCACCCGCCACCACGCCTGGCTAATTTTTTGTATTTTTAGTAGAGACGGGGTTTCACCGTGCTAGCCAGGATGGTCTCGATCTTCTGACCTCGTTATCCGCCCACCTCGGCCTCCCAAAGTGCTGGGATTACAGGCCTGAGCCCGCACCCGGCCAGGCCCAGGAAGAATTTAAATGGTACTTACTCAGTGACACAGGACATATACAAAAAAAGAGTACGATGAAGCAAGAAAGATTACACCAAGACTTCTTGTTGACTTCTCTCTGAGGCCTACCTGTGTAGCTAAGAGTGCCCGTCCTTTCAGGCCACATTTCAGGTGCCAGAGAATCCCCAAGAAAGTTTTCTTCATTTGGCCGTATCCAAAAATCACAACATATGAGTGACCCAAAGAATACTGACTTCATATCATAAACCAGATATCACAACCAGTTTGTTCTGTAGCAAAAAATACCCCTGTAAATGTCAAGAAAAGGGCAAATTTTTATAGAGCAACAAGACAAAAAAGGAAAACCGTTTTCTTGGCTCTGAAATGGGCCCGTATACTGGGGTTCTGCAATCCCTGAAATTGAACCTAATGTGTTTCATGTGTCTTCACGAAGAAAGGAGTAACAACAAAAAGAAAATCGAAGAAATAGAGAAAGAAGAGAGAGATCCAATAAAGAAGATTATTATATTATTAACATTTTTATTATTACTTACATTGAGTAATCCAGTCATATGTCTTTCATATTTTTTTGGACACGATACCAGAAGACATCAAAAGTGTACGTCAAAGGAAAGTTGGTAAACAGAAAAGGCAGATACCAGTGGAAGTATGAAAGCTACCTTGTTAATTCTCCATTTTAGCCAAAAGTAAAAGAGATAGGAGAAATTGACGATCTTTAGGAAATAAAAGACAGCAAGACAAGTAGCAAATCAAGTGCACAAGTGGTTGGCCAGTCTCCGGACAATGGTAAGGATATGGTTTCTTTCCCTAGCATCAGGGATTTTCTAATAGAAGAATATTGATTCTGGCTAAGGCCAAACTAGTAAGAATGAAGCCAACCATGCATAACTTCTGATTTCTCATCCAGGCAATGCAATCTGTGAGTCCAATGAATTAATTTCCTACATTCCTTTTATAAATCCCCTACCTATTACAGTCATGAAAACCTCCAATATATTCAACATGGCTACAAAGCGAAAATTCTGATCTGCAGTTTGTTGTGTGACTAATTTTCAGATGACTTACTGGATAATAACATAGATCTTATGTTTGATTGTGCAGTGTTTTTATTTTATCATGGCTTTTCTTTTTAGCTATAAAGTTTAGCAAACTGCAGTAAGACAGTGAAATCACTCTCTGTAACATTCATTGAAAATTTCTAACTACCTCTGCTAAGAATTTCCAGTCTTGGTCCAGCTGTCAGCTACAAACTGTAAATTTCTTTATAGAAAGATGATCACACTCTGGGGACTGTTGTGGGGTGGGGGGAGGGGGAGGGATAGCATCGGGAGATATACCTAATGCTAGATGACGAGTTAGTGGGTGCAGTGCACCAGCATGGCACATGTATACATATGTAACTAACCTGCACAATGTGCACATGTACCCTAAAACTTAAAGTATAATTTAAAAAATTAAATAAAAATAAAAAAATAAAAACAAAATTAAAAAAAAAGAAAGATGATTGACAAACCAAATTATCATTTGCTAACATGTAAATAAAGACACAGACTAATTTTCATTGTTTTGAATAAAATTAGTTCTCCTCTTCCAATGAAGTGTTTCATTTGATTTACAAATCTGAAGTTTGAAACAGAAACCTTTCACCACATTAAAATTATTCAACATGTAGGGAAAACCAGCAATCCTTATGCTAATTAATTATAATGCAGTCACAGTGTAGATTGCTACATTACAAAGTAAAATACAGAGCTTGAAATTTTCAAGAAACTTGGTGGGCAATATATGAATCTAATATGAGTATCATAATTATCAGGAAAACTTCCCCCACCGCTCCCCACCCCCCACTATAAAGATGCAGGCCTTTCAAATAATCTGTCAGTAGCATTTTAAACACATTTTTAAAAATGATGTCTTTCAGTGAAACATAAGCACCCCAAACTAAACATGGAAAAAGTGAACTTCTTTTGTTTCCTCAAAAACAAGATTCTAGCACTTTGGGAGGCTGAGGCAGGCGGATTGCTTGGGCCCAGGAGTTTGAGACCAGCTTGGGCAACGTAGCAAAACCCCGACTCTACCAAAAATACAAAAATTAGCTAGGTTAGGTGTGTTGGCACACGCCTCTGATCCCAGATACACAGGAGGTGGAGGTGGGAGGATCACCTGAGCCCAGGGAGGTTGAGGCTGTAGTGAGCCACGAAAAAAAAAATGTTTTTTTTGAGATATAAGAGTCTTCAAATATTTCCACAGAACTTTGTTAAGGTTACATTGTCTTGAGGGGAAAATGCTTAAAAAGTCATGAATATACTTAGGATGATCTGTTATGTGTATATCCATATACACAGATATAGGTACATATATGGCTACATATACATAAACATATACATGTATACAAATACACACAGACACATCTATTTATACACACATTGTACTGTGTTTTGTCCTCTACTTCTCTGTATTTTAGCTTGTCTGGTTTTTGTTACTTGGATTGCTTCTTTTTTTGCATTATTTTATTATTTTTAATAAACGCAATAATTGTACATATTTATGTGATACAGTGTGATATGTGAATACATTTATACAATGTGTAATGATCAAATCAAGGCAATTAGCATATCCGTTTCTCAAATATTTAACATTTCTTCGTGTTGGGCACATTCAAAATTTGTTTTTCTAGCTCTTGTAAAATATACAATAAATTGTTGTAATTGTAGTCACCCTACTGTGCTATAGAACACTAGAACTTGTTCCTTCTACCTGGCTATACTTTTGTATTCATTAACCAACCTTTGGCTATCTCCCTCTCCCTTCTCCCCTATCACATCTCTAGGAACCATTATTCTGCTTCCTACTTCTACGGAATCAACTTTATTAGCTTCCACATATGTGTGAACATGTCATGTTTGTCTTTCTGTATCTGGCTTATTTCACTTAACAGATGTTCTCCAGTCTCATGGATGCTTCCATAAATGACCAAATTTCCTTCTTTTAATGGCTAAATAGTATTCCATTCATTATGTGTATATATCATGTTTTCTAATCCATTCAAATGTTAATGGACACTTAGGTTGATTTCATGTCTCGGCTATTATGAATGGTGTTGCAAAACACATGGGAGTGCAGATATCACTTCGACATATTGATTTCCTTTCCTTTGGATACATACCCAGTGGTGGGATTGCTGAATCATATGGTAGTTATATTTTTAGTTTTTAAGAACTTCCATTCTGTTCTCCATAATGACTAAACTAATTTATATTTGTACCAACAGTGTGTAAAACTTCCTCCTCCACATCCTCACAAGCATTTGTGTTTTTTTGTCTTTTTGAAAATAGCCATTATAACTAGAATAAAATAATATCTCATTGAGGTTTTTATTTGCATTTCTCTGATGATTAGTTATATTGAGCACCTTTTTATATACCTATTGGCCATTTGTATGTCTTCTTTTGAGAGATATCTATACAGTTAATTTGCCCATGTTTTAATCTAATTATTTGTGTTTTTGACTGAGTTCCTTCTATAGTCTGGATATGAATTCCTTGATAAATGAATAGTTTTCAAATATTTTCTCTTATTCTAGAGGTTGTATCGTCAGTCTGTCGATTGTATATTTGTGTATGCTTTTATCAAATCAACATAATGTAAACTAAATGAGATAAAGCTAAAATGGTCATCGCTTGCTTAACATAAAATGCATTATTCATCTAATTTTATTGTTACTATTATATAATACTATAATTTTAATTTTGCCATTGATTATATAGTTGCAATTCTGATGGAAACAGTGAAATCACTTTCTTTTAACTTATTTCAGGCAGATAATTTCATCAATGAGGCTCAATGATCTATCACCAAACATAATAAAAGAAGTTGGATTAAATGAAAGGGATGTGTGCTGAGTTATTTGTTGTCTTCATTTTTGAGAGAATTACCAATCAATTCAGGTGTGTTTATGAGGATTTAGATTTCCTTATATTCATGTAACACCGAAGGTTCCTCAGGACACAGAGAGAAGCCTGTTTCAGTTTGCTGTTCCATAAAATCAGAAAAAAATGAATGACTGAATAGATAGAAAAATGCTAACTCAAGAGCAAAAATCTGTGCCACAATGCTATCTAGATTAAAATAATTTCGCTTTATAATCGTATTGCTCAAATAGTATATAATAAAGAGGAGCAGGAATGAAATTATAGATATTAGGGGATGTCAAACTTATCCTTGCATTCTTATTGTACAAAATTTCCTCAGTTTACATTTAAGCCCACATGTAAAATTACAGCAGAATATTCTGGAAATTGCCCAACAGGTGAGAATAAAATCTATCAGGGAGAGTTTCCAGCGCCTGATCCAATCAATGCAGTGAACCAGCACCATAACTCTACTTCTCTGAATCCCCATTATGAAATCTATAGCAGAAATCATTGTAAGCATATTCTTCAACATGTTTGCCATGCTTGATTATGGGATCTCTGCTTTCTGTACACCACTGATTTATAAATAAGATGTTATAAATTTGTGTATCCAAAGCTTTAGTGTTCAATATGTTTCTTTATCCTGTGCTGTTGATTGACACTGGAAAAGAATGGAATGCCTCCAGTGTGCTCCCAGACAAAGTCCTAGTTGTCTTTGAAAAACGAAAACTACCTTTATTTTTCTCAGAATTTCAGCTAGTGATTTTCAAGGCAGATATTATATTACCTGCTGTTGTGACACTGTTTATAATTTCCTTGTAAAGCTATCAACTAGGATTTGAATTCTGATTTGTTAAAATACAAAATAGAGATTTTAAAATATTTTTTGCATCTTTTTTTCCTTAAGATTTAAATGTTTTTTATTCATTCACCTTAGTTATAAGCTAGAAACATTAAAATATGGTGTCTTCATGGATCTCCTGAGAAGCAAGGCAGTCATTGGGATAAATGCCTATATGAGAAAGCAAGGAGAGAGCGAAAGGTGAACAGAGCTATTGTACTAGGATATAACTTTGACCCCTGTGAAGGAGAGAGAGAGGGAAAGAAGGAAGGTCTTAGGCAGCAGTGCAGTCCTGAGAACATTTCAAGATGTCCAGTAGGGAGTTATCAAGCCCAAGGTGCAAATTAGAGGAGTCCTGAGTCTCCCAGGAGCAGGCCTGACCATTGAATCTGCCCCCTTCTCTGTCTTTGGCTGAAAGCGGCTCATGGAAGTGAATGGGGTGATAGATTTCATAGCATAGGTGCCATGCTTGTTAGCTGTTGGGGAAATACGATTAAAAACAAAGTCTCCTCCCAACCCAGAAAGTCTCTCCACAAATGTAATAGAGAAAGAAAATAGTTTTCTTATTAAATAAATATTAAACCAGAATCTGATATACATTACAGGCAACCTACTAAGAGACTGCAAAGACAGAAAGAGATCTCACCCGTTTTTATATAGCCAATATATGCATATGACCCAATATATACATTTTCTCAAGTTAAGTGATAACTAATCCCCAAGAGAGAGGACTTGGCAGCATTATTTATTACGCATAGTTTATCTTAAATTTACCTGGAAATTGGGGTGGCCATCTGTGTTAGTTAACAGACTTTAAACAAAGGACAAATAAACACAGATCTTTATGTAGGAGATAGTCTTGCCATTTGGAGCCTGGTGGCCATTGAAGTTAGGCTCCTGCTCCCAGCAGAAACTGAGAGATAAGGGTGCTTATTTGTAAAAGAGATGATTAAGCTTCTTTATTTTTAGTGTGTATTTGCCCTTCTGCAGCTAATTGTGCTCCCTCAGGACAGAGATTTCAGAGGCACATTCCTATCACATGCCACAAATGTCTAAAATGACAGTTTATCTTCTTACTCACCTCGCCAATACATATTATGTATAAAGTACCCAAGGTTTAAGTAAATACACAAAATCTGCTTTCTGATACTATATCAGGATCGCTTAGAGTCTGTGGCAGTTTTGAAACATGGCTGCAAACTCTTTGATCCTCTTCCTTTTGAGGCCTAGGGTCTGCAGACCTTCCTCTTAAAACTGAGTGGGCTTGTAACTGCTTTAAACAATGACGTGTGGTGGAAACGACATCATATACTTTCTAAGGCTATCAAGAAAAACTGTATGGCTTTTCCGTTACTCACTGGAAAGTTTCCTCTTACAATCCTGAACCACTTCATAAGAAGTCTGACAAAGTTGAGACCAGCATGCTGTGAGGAAGCTCAAGCCACACGAGGAGGCCACATGTAGGCAATATAGTCAACCATTTCAAATGAGCCCGTACTTCTGATCATCCAAGTCCAGTGATAGACATGAGAGTAAAGGTCTGCTTGGTTATTGCAGCCCCTGCCACTTGAGTCATAGTCCGCTGTCTACATATTCTAAGGTGAAGGTCTAGACATTTTGAAGAAGAGACAAGCCTTCTCATAGTGCCCTGTCTGAATTACTGACCCACAGAATCTGGAAGCATAATAAAGTACTGTTGTTTTACACCCACTAGGGCCTATTGGGGTGGGGGTTGGGGGAGGAGGAACATCAGGAAGAATAGCTAGTAGATGTTGGGCTTAATACCTAGGTGATGGGCTGATCTGTGCATCAGACCACCATGGCACATGTTTACCAATGTAACCGCACATTCTGCACATGTACTTCAGAACTTAAAAGTTGAAGAAAAAATACACAAAATAAAATAAAATAAAATATTGTTGTTTTGTATCTCTGAGTTTTGGACTCAGGGTGTTTTAAAGATCAATGCATAACTAAAATAGAATTATTTAGCACATACATAAGGAAAGTCTTTTACTAGCTTAGTTTTTATTTTCTTAGCATCATTATTTATAGTAGCCAAAAGATAGAAAAAAACCCAAATGTTCATCAATGAATAAATAAATAGACAAAAGGTGGTTTAGTCATGTAATCAAATATTATTTAACTATTAAAGGGAATAAAGTACTGATACGTACAACATGTATGAGTCTTGAAATTATGCTAAGTAAAAGAAACCAATCACAAAAGATCCCATATTATATAATGCCATTCAGTCGAAAGTCCAGAATAGGAAAATATACAGATGCAGGAAGAAGATTAATAGATGCTTAGGCTGGGGTGGGGAGAAAGGTGGGATGATGGGGGAATAGGGAGGTGATATCTAATGGATATGGGGTTTCTTTTTGAAGTGATAAAATGTTCTACAATTGACAGTGGTGATGGTTGCACATGTCTGTGGAATATATTAAAAATCATTTAATTGAACACTAAATGAGTGAATTGTATATTATGTGAACTATATCTCAATTAAAGCATTTAAGGCAAAAACAAGTTACATATGACATTTTTCCTTATAGAATATGTAACATCTGTGTATATTTTTCATAATTTTATTATACCTTGTAGTAACACTATTAGCTCAGTCATCTTTAATTCTGGTGAGGTATAAATAAAATACCAAAAGCTTTACATCATTTCACTTTTGTTGACTATTACTTATTGAGAAACTTTTTACTCTTTGGATGAGACATGATAGGATAGGCTATGCTGTAGCATCTACAATGTAAGTTTCATGAAAGGTTCATTTCTCGGTTCACATTACATGACTAATTGAATTTAAAAATGCAGAGTGAGGTGAGGATAGTTTTCATGTAGTCTCTCAGGAATACAAGCTAGTGGAGTATCTAACACTAAACATGTGTCTTTCAAGTCCCTCACTTAGGAAGAAAAGAGACACGAAGAGCCTTCTTTTACATATGAATATTCAACTGTTCCAAAATGATTAGTTGAAAAGATAATCCTAATCTTTTTTTTTCAGTCTTTAAGTGCTCTTTTCTTTTATTCTCAGCCCCCTTTATTGTTATTATTATTTTCATTTCATTATT
The DNA here is from genome assembly GCF_000001405.40 of Homo sapiens. Lineage (NCBI taxonomy): Eukaryota > Metazoa > Chordata > Mammalia > Primates > Hominidae > Homo > Homo sapiens. The sequence goes on from NT_187658.1 coordinate 37,507, forward strand.
ATTATACTTTAAGTTCTAGGGTACATGTGCACAACGTGCAGGTTTGTTACATATGTATACATGTGCCATGTTGGTGTGCTGCACCCATTAACTCGTCAGATTTTATGTTTCTTTATCCTGGCTTGATAAAACCCATTGTCTCAGGACTTTTCTTCTAAATAGAAAAGTAGTCTGAAGGCTCGTCCTGATTCATTTTAAGACTGTAGTATTTCTCTTCTGCCAGTTAATATGTTTTCACTTTTTCTATTTTCTTTTTATATCCAATACATTTCAGTATGAAATTTTGTGATGGTCCACTAGTCTGATGTGCACAATTTAGCCAGGAATAAATATTAGTGGATTCAAAATAGGCACTCAAACTATCTGTCCAGATTTTTTAAGTGTTGTTGGTTTTTTTCTTTCTTTTTTTTTTTTTTTCAAATTTCAACTGATGAATGAAAGTAGCTGCCTAGAGAATAATGAGGTGGGTGCCAAACCTGGGTTCATTGAAGGCGTTATAGCACCTGTGCCATGCTATAACTTAGATAAGTGACCTTATCTAAGCCCATGGCTTCAAATGCCACTGAAACTGGTGAATTTATCTTTTAGGAATGGAAGGGCTATAGAGATATTTGATGAAAGAAAACTAAGAGGATTTGTCACCAGAACATCTACCTTTTAAAAGGGGGCTAAAGAAAATTCTCTAGCCAAGAAAAATAAAAAAGAAAGTTTCAAACAAAAAGATTAAAGAAAACACAATGGAAAGGAAGAATGAATAAATTCATCTTCCTTTTCTTCTTCAGTTTGGTAAATGTATTTGACAGTTGAAGTTACAATTATGACATTATCAGCTGTGATTGTAAACTTGATTTCAGTAACATTTGAAGCCATGGGCTTAGACAAGGTCACTTAGGAATAGTGTAGATATCAGGACAAGTAAGACCTCTGAGACAGCCATGTGGGAACTCGACATAGCAAGCAAGCGATGGGGAGCCCCACCCAGTGACTGTCTTCACTCTAGCAGCTCTCAGTGAAGGCTTCTGTATTAGGCCATTCTTGTGTTGCCATAAAGAAATAGAGGGGCCCTGCATGGTGGCTCACACCTGTAATCCCAGCACTTTGAGAGGCAGAGGCGGGCGGATCACGAAGTCAGGAGATTGAGACCATCCTGGCCAACACGGTGAAACCCTGTCTCTACTAAAAATACAAAAAATTAGCCGGGCGTGGTGGCGGGTGCCTGTAGTCCCACCTACTCAGCAGGCAGAGGCAGGAGAATCACTTGAAGCCGGGAGGTGGAGGTTGCAGTGAGCCAAGATCGCGCCACTGCACTCCAGCCTGATGACAGAGCGAGACTCCATCTCAAAAAAAATAAAAAAATAAAAAATAAAGGTAATTAATAAAAGAGATTTAATTAGCTCATAGTTCTGCAGGGTGTACAGGCATGGCACTAGTATCTGATTAGCTTCTGATGAGGCCTCTGGAAGCTTACAATCATGGCAAGAGGCAAAGGGGGAGGAGGCGTGTCACATGGTGAGAGTGGGAGCAAGTAGAGGAGGCGCCACACACATTCAAACAACCAGATCTTGCATGAACTCAGAGCAAGAACTCACTAATCACCGAGAGAATGGTGTTAAACCAGGAGTGTCCAATCTTTTGGCTTCCCTAGGCCACGCCGGAAGAAAAAGAATTGTCTTGGGCCATACAAAAAAATATACTAACGATGGGTGATGAGCTAAAACAAATTGCCAAAAAACTCAATGTTTTAAGAAAGTTTATGAATTTGTATTGGGTCATATTCAAAGCCATTCTGGGCTGCATGCAGAATGCTGGCCATGTGTTGGACAAGCTTCTGCTACACCATTCATGAGGAATCTGCCCCATGATCCAATCACCTCCTACCAGGTGCTATCACAACATCGAGAATCACATTTCAACATGAGGTTTTCAGGGGACAAACATCCAAACCATATCAGCTTCCCTGTGCCAAGCATGGATGGAGCTGAGAGCTTTATATGGGTTACTTACAAAATATACATGTTTTATACAATAATATTAATAGTACAAAATAATTACTTTGTACCAAAAATTAATTGTACAAAATATTAAAATATTTAACATAACATTTGTACAATGTATATAAAAATATAAATATCCCATAAAATTTGATAATAGCATATGCTATTTTATTTCTATAATATAGACACTCTTCAATACTCAGCAACTTTGTTCACATTAGACCACTTTTATTTGTAATTATTGATATGTTGGGTCACAAACCTGCCATTTTACTTTATGATTTCTGCTTATCCGTTTTTTTTTCTTTTTTTGTAATTGTTGTTTTGTACGCCTTGCTTTCATGTGTGTTACTTTAATTTTCTTTTTTTAGAATTCCATTGAGGTTTATCTGTGGTATTTTTGAGTATATCTCTGTGTGCAGACATCTTAGTGGATGCTGTAGGTTTTACAGCACATGTAATAACTTATCATGGTTTAATAGGGTCAAAATTTTAGTACTTTGAAAGATGTACGGAAACCTTATTCCTTGATTCCCTATATGTCTCTTTACCCTCCTCTGTTCCTTATATAGTTGTCTTAAATATTTACCTATATACACTTAAAATCGCATCTGATAATGTCATAATTTTAACTTCAGCTGTCAAATAAATTTACCAAACTGAAGAGGAAAAGGAAGATGAAGTTATTCATTTTTTCCCTTTCCATTGTGTTTTCTTTAATTTTGGTGTTTTAAAGTTTCTTTTTTAATCTTTTTTCTTTTTTTTTTTCCTGGATAGAGAATTTTCTTGAGCCCCTTTTTAAAAGGTAGACCTTCTGGTGACAAATCCTCTCAGCTTTCTTTCATCAAATGTCTTTATAGCCCTTCCATTCCTAAAAGACAAATATACCAGATATAAAAACCAGAATTGAAAGTTATTTTATTTCATCACATAGACAGTGTTGTGCCACTTTTCTATGGCTTTCATCTATTTCTGATGTTTCCTGCTTCCATTTGTATTGTTTTCTCTCCTATAGATGAGCTATTTCCTCTAGCTGCTTTCAAAATTTGTTCTTTCTTTTAATTTTCAGATATTTTACCATGGTATACCTTAGTTTGGATTCTTTGTGTTTGTCTTGGTTAGTTTTATGCACTGAAAGTTTGTGTCCCCTCAAAATTCATATGTAGACATCCTAAATTCAATGTGATGTTATTTGGAGGTTAGGCCTTTGGGAGGTAATTAGGGTTAGATTAAGTCATGAGGGTGGGGCCCTCATGTTGAGATCAGAGGCCTTATAAAAAAAAAAAAGAGAGAGAGAGAGGGAGAAGGAGACAAGAGATATCTTTTTCTTTTCTCCAACATGTGAGGATACAATGAGATGATGTCCATCTATAGCCAAAAAATGTCTTCAGCAGAACTCATCTGTGCTGGCATTCTGATCACGGTCTTCCAGCCTCCAGTATTGTGAGCAACACATTTTTGTTTTTATAAACCACCCATTCTATGGTATTCTGATACAGTAGCCTAAAATGGCTAAGAGATTTTGGGTTTGCTTGAATTTAGGAATCTGTGGGTTTTTGCCTATTGCCAAATTAAGGAAGTTTTCAGTCTTTGAGACCTTTCTCAAAGTTGCCCATTTCTTCTCTCCTTCTGGGACTCTGATAACACAAAAATTAGGCCTTCAGTTATAATACTACAGGTCCCTGAGGCTGTGTTTATAGTTTTTTCCTGCTTACCTTCATGAATTTTTTATGTGGTTATTGTAAGTTTCAGTTCTAAAATGTCCATTCAGTTCTTTCATATATTTTAATTTTTTGGCTGAGATAATTTTTAAATTTGTTTCATATATGTTTGTAAGCAATATACTGGAAGCATTTTTATGATGACTGCTTTAAAATATTTTCTGAATAATTCCAACATCTTTGTCATTTTTGTTCTGGAATCTTCTAATTACCTTTTACATTCAAGTTGAGATTTTTCCTGGTTCTTTGTATACCAAATGATTTCTAAATGAACCAGGACATTTTAGGCATTATGAGACTCTAGAACTTATTTACCTTTTCTGTCTTAGCTAGCTTCCTCAGACACTACTCCAGCAAGGCAAGGGAGTGAGGGAGGGACACTGCATTACTGCCAGGTGATGATAGAAATAAAGGTTTCCTCTCAATCTCTGTTGACACCTAGGCAGGCGGAGGTTCCTCATTACTGCTGGCTGGAGGGTGGATTCTGGGTCACCACTGGGCCTCCACTGATAGCCTGTCTCGGAGGAAGAAGTGACTTGTTACTGTTTCCCACATGGCCTCCACAAGCACCACCTGGTATGGAAAGGAGGGTGCTTCTTCATTGCTGCTTTTAGAGTAGATCCAGCTCCCCATTTGCTCTCCAGTCATATCAAGGTGTGGAAGGAGAGTGAGGGGCTTATTACCACAAGTTGGGGATGAAAGTTCCAACTTCTGCTATTCTGAGATACTATTCTGGAGGAGGGTTGGGACACCTTGTCACAGCCTGGCTGGTATGAAGATCTAAAGATCTAAGCTCTTCACTTGAGGTAATAGTGTTTTCTGTGGTACTTGACTACAGTAGAGTGGTTATTGTCGAAATGTTTTCTGCCTTGGTAGACTATTTCCTTGACCTTTGCCTAAAATAATAGGCTTTTGTTGGGAAATTCTCATATGTGCCTGTTAGTATTTCTATGTTGATGGCATTTTCAGCTAAAAGTCTGCAAATTATAAAGCAGAAAAGAAAACTTAGAGGATTCATCACTATACAATTTATTAAGTCCCTACCACATCTGCCTTGGTCTCTCCAGGTCTGAGTTTTCATATATTTTATATATAATGTTCAGGGTTTATAGTTTTTCTTAGTAGAAGGAATAGGGCAAAATACATTTACTCCATTTTTCTGGAAGCAGAAATTGGTTTACTTTCTGTAAGAAAGCAGTTGGTGAATTTCTGTCTAAATTCTCTGCCTTTTCAAGAGGAACTGGGCTTTACTTCTCAGATAACAACTGAGCAACGATAGACCTACAGGTGGCATTACTCTCTGTATAGGTAGAGAATAGGCTGAATATTAAATGTTAAGGAGCAGAATCATTGGAATTTAAATGAGGAAGGAGACTTAGTTTTTATTCACGTTAACCAGCCACCTGATGACATGCAACAGTGCGTTTGTTCATCAACATACCTTTTAGATGGCCTTTCTGCTTCTTTTTTGAATGGCTTTAATGCTAAAGAAAGCAAGTGTTTATCAAATAATCTATTTTTTAGATAATTCATTATTAGAAGTTAATTCATTATTAGAAAGATAATTTATTATTAGAAGGTAATTCATTATTAGAAAGAACAAAACGAGTCTTTTTTAATAAAAGAATAAATAAATTTAAATGTATTGAACTTTTATTGTTGTATGTCATGTAGGGTAATTTTGTATACATGTTGCATTTTACAAGACTTAAATCGTGTAATTTTATATACATCTTGTAGGGTAATTTTATATACATTTTATAAGGTAATTTTATATATATTATGCATTTAATTCTTGTAAGTAGCCCTCTGCCTTAGCCAGTTCGAGCTGCTATTAACAAAATATCTTATCTTGGGTAATTTATAAATAATATAAATGGATTTGTCATAGCTCTGGAGGCTGGAAAGTTGAAGATTGAGATGGTACCAGATTTGGGGTTGAGTGAGAGCCCATTCCAAACAGACAATTTCTCCTGGCTTCTCTCTCATGAGGCAGAAGTATGAAAGAAACATGAACATTGAGTCCCTACATGTCAAAAGAGATGGAACAGCTCAGCAGCCTTTGGGAGCTTCTTTTTGTAGGGAAATTGATCCCATTCATGAAAGCAGAGTCCACACGACTTAGTCACTTCCCCCAAAGACTCCATCTCTTAATACTATTGCATAGGGAATTAAGTTTCAACATAAATTTATTTTGTAGAGACATAAACATTCAAACTATAGCATTCTGTCCCTGGTCATCCCCCGAAATATATGGTCTTCTCACATACTAAGTACATTTATTTCATCTCCCAAATCCCAAAGTCTTAACTCATTCCAGCATCCACTTTAAAATCTAAATCCAAAGTCTTATCTAAATATCATCAAAATCAGATATGGTGTGGCCAATTTTCTAATATTGAACCATCTTTAACATCCTCATCCTCTTTCAACGTGGTTTATTATTCTTTTAGCATACTGTTCGTTTGTTTATGTACTATTGAATAGTTTCCCTAACAGAGTATCCTTGCTGTCCTATATATTTTGTTTAATGAAACTCAGAATGAATTCAGAAACTTGTTGTTTCCTGTACTTAAAAAATCTAAAAAAGAATTATGTGCTTTTTAATGATAAAGATTAGATATTAAAATTTTCTGTATTCAGCGACATTGGAGGTGATAATGAGAGGTAGCTGGAGACAGTTACATATCAAATTCTTTTGCTTCTTAGGGTTATTTTCTATTCAACTTTGCCTCAGCAACTTGAGTTAAATTTGGTAGTCTATATTATCTGACAATAATACTGATATTGCTGGAATTTTTACAATCAGAACAGAGTTTTACTCAAATTTCTTGCCCTTTAAAGTACATTATGCTGCACCCTTTATGAAATCCACTCAAGTTTTTAAAAAGAATGGTGAACGACTTAGGGAGGAAGAGAGCTGAGCAATGAAAAAAGAGGAGAAAAGAGCATAGTGAGTTTTATAGAGAAGAGATCTAGAACTACATTTATGCCCCTAGAAACCAGGATTAATAGTTTTGGAAATTTTAAGAATTCCCCAGCACTTGCAACTCCCTCTCATTTGTTATATATTCCTTGTTTTCCTAGAGTTACAAGAATATCAATGAAAGATGTAAAAATAATTTTAAGAATTTGCATTTGTGCTATGCAATCTAGGACAGAAGGGGAACAATGGAACTCTTTCTCCTTGGCAGCTGGCTTTATTAAGATAAAGGAGGAGGGAAGCCTGCTGGAAGCATCAATGAGCAAGAGTCCCAGATATTCTTAGATTGTATTAATGGCCCTCAAATTCTAGACTCAGAAACACCCACAAAGAGAAGCAACAATCAGAAATTGCATGCTATTAATATTTTATTGGTATACTGAAGAAAGAGTTATGACCACATTATTTCAATGTCATGGCTTTCTGAAGGAAGTTATCTTCTTATTTATTTTCTGAAACAAAAAAAAAAACCAAGGAAATTTATACACAACATACAACATGGCAAAACTTATCTAATTCCTTGATGATATTACTGAAGTAAATTATTGCTTTCAAGATTAAGAAAACAGATTTTTTTATGGTGTTTATGTTTTGGTTACTGTTCAAAACATTCAAGGTTATATTTATGAAAATGACTGCAACTTGAACCTGTAGTAGTGAAAAACTAATACAAGCCTACATATCAATTAACAGTGGTTGACTGAGGAAATCATGGTACAGTCACACAAGAGAATAGTATACAATTGTAACAACAAAAGAAAAATGTACAAATAAATCACCAAGAAGATCTATAGGTCTCCGTGAAATGATAAAGTTGTCTAAGACATGTATTATTTGAAATAAGCAAATACAGATCTGCATATAAAATAATATGTCATTTGTGGGAAAAATAATGACGTATGCTTATATACATATAAATATTTCCAGGAGGATGTTCAAAAAATTAAGGGTGGTGACTTTTGGTGAAGGGTGTGGGTAAGTAGGATAAGGCGTCACTTTAAGATTTAGCTTCATACCATTCTGTTCAGTTAGATTTTTTTTTCCTTGAGCATGTACTAATTTCAAAATAAGTATTTTAAAAATTAAATAAGATATAAGAGCATCAAGTTCAAGTATCATTTAGCAGGGACACTGGACCTGAGAGGCTAGTGTGAGGCAGGACTGAGCAAAGAGTCCTCTGGCGGAAACCTGAGAGAAACCTGAGATGGAGAGTCCTTGGGTTTGAGAAGGCAGACTCAAAGACAGGAGGCAGAGCACCAAAGGGAGAGCACACCCCACTTCCTCATTACCAACTCATTTTAATGAGACAAGTCATCTTAAGAAAAAAGTTGGGGAGGTCAGTATTTCAAAAGATAAGAATTCTTTGAACCACTTGTTAAAAATACAAGGACTTGCAACCTTATCCAAGAATATCTGAATACAAATCTTTAGAAATGGGGTCCAGGATTATGTAATTTCAACATATTTCCAATTGATTTGTGAACACGATAAAGTTTGGGAATGGTAGCAGTTTGGGCATTTAATGGAGAATGAACTGGAATCATACCTGCCACTGAATTCTAGATTACCAGAGTGGTTGCTCCTGGGGATGTCTTGCTGGTCTGTCCCTCTGGAAGAATGATGATGCTTCCTGCAGGCTGACAGAAGGAAATCGGGGTAGAGAGAGTTGACGGTGTCCTCGTCGGGGTGGTCGTTGCTGATTTTGAAAAGGAGGTGGGGGAGGATGGCGGTGATGGCCTCCTGGTTTTGGTGGTCTCTGCTGAGGACCATCATCTTGGTTACCACTATCACCAGGGGGTCTAGGTAGGAGTCCTTCAGGAGGAGGTCTCTGGGGTCCCTGATCTGGTCTCTGACTTGAGTCCTCTACATCTGTGTGAGTAATTAATGGACAAGAATGCATGAGCTCAGTGAAGAAAAACTCTCCTCTCTTTATACTTCTCTCACCTTACCACACAGCCCTGTTCTCCCCAAACCTGCTGCTTGACTGTCAACTTCTTTTGTGCCCACTGTTTTTTTTTTCTTTTTATGCAGCTCTCAACTTAATCCATGTAAGAGTGATATGGAAAGTCTCATTTATTTGCTCCTGTGACAAGTATGTTTCCTTAAATGAAAAGAGGGGTTCTTGCATATCTTAGAGTTGCCAGAGGATGTCTCCAAGGACAGAAAAAAAAAAAAAAGCAAAAGCATTATAGCTTTCAGTTATGTTACTGGTTATTTTTTATTTTTATTTTTTGGTTGCTGTAATGACTTACAAACTGTGACTCCATCTCTGGGCACCTAAGCCCTATGTGGAAACTAGAGCTGATTTCCCAGGCTCCTGGAACCAAGTAGAGAAATACTAAGAGACAGAAGAGAAAGACAATGTGAAAGCCTGCACATGATCACTAAACAGCTGTGGCAACTATTTATCATCTGTAGTGACACAGCTGAGTGGGTCAACACAGAGAAAAGACATTCATGCAGTGATTTTTTTGTTTTGTTTTGTGTTACTCCCTGAAGCCACATAACCGTGCGGGGGAACACTGGGGGAAGAAAGAAGCAGTTAAGGATGGAGGAGTCAGAATGAGAACACTTCTCATTTGTTCATCATCTCTCAGCAGTCATTCCAGCCTGGGAAAAAAGCCTGCCCACTCCTATTGTCCTCAAAGCCAGGCATCTCTGTATTCAAGTTGGTGGCCTGGCTCATGGTCCCCAGAATCAAAGATGGGTAAGAATTGCCTATATATTTAGGGGCACTAATATTAATCAATGCCTGACCCCTCTTACCACCTCCTCCCAAAAAAATGATGAGAAGAAGACACTGAAGGAAACTAAAAAGAAATTCTAGTGGAAAAAGAAAGAAAAGAATTGGATTGAGGATCATTGGGATTTACCTGGTATGGTGAAAGTAAAGTCTTCATAGTTCACATCTAGGAAAAGAAGCACAGGATGAAGTGAACATTACCTCATAAATCTTTCAGGGCTCATAGTGGTCTATAGGGAAAGGGGTCTTCTGGCCACACCCTGTGCATCCCCTAAGTTACCTCATCAACCATGTTCTGTGAAGCTGCTGGAAGGGGAGGAAGATGTTAGGGGAGGCAGGATTGTTACTATCGCTGAGCATCAACCACGAATTCAATAGAAGAGTCCCTTTTTGTCATCCTTAGGATCCCTCAAACCCTAATGCTAATTTAGGCACACTTCTCTGGGTATTTTCATGTCATATTTTAGATCTTTACCTTCTTCCTTCTTTAAATATTTTGATCATATTCACAAGCTTGCCCAAGAGGAGCAACCAGGAGTAAATATTTGGATATAATCTTACACATGCTGCCTGCAACATATTGAAATTTTAAATGTGATTGGAAGAAAAATGGGAATTTGGGGACCTGATATTTCTATACCACTATGTAGAAAGACACAAATGTATTATCCAGTCCTCTATGTCTGACAGTACTCTGATGTTTGTTTATCTCTTTCATTGATTCTGCATCCCCTGTACAGCAAGGACACCATCATCGCTGTCCACTGAGATTACTGTAGCATCTTCATAGCTGGACTTCCCTGGATCAGTCTTGCATTCTCCACTGCATCCTTCACAGCACAGCCAGGTCTTTCTAAAAATACAAATCTTACTTTGTCATTCCTCTAATTGAAATTCTCTATTGGGTTCCAAGTGTATATCAAATAAAGTATAAGGCCTTGGCATGGAATGAGGGCACAACAGATGTCATCCTTGGAATGAGAGCTCCAAAGCCCTACCCTTCTTCTCAACCTCCTTCCTCCCCTCCTGCTCTTCCGCTGCAGTGGTGTAGGGTGAACCCCTGAGGCCCTAGAAGAGTCATGGCCCCTCATCCCACTCCCCATCTCCTTTTTTAAAAAAATAATTTTTTTACCATTATCTGTGCTCTGAGCTGAGCTCAGAGCCAGAAGGACCACTGAGAGCAGGACCAGCAGCATCTTGAAGGAGGCTCTGGAGTTGCTCCCAACTCTGCGTTGAGAGAAACATGGCAGCTCCCTTTATAAACATGAGCAGAACAATGGCACCTTTGAGCTCCATACTGGGTGGACCTCACCACCTGAAAGATTAGGTTTTGCTTTCCTCTCATAAAGTTGAATGCGTCTCTTATTACTTTTTGGGATTTTAGCCCAGCAGGATGTGGTGGTAGGATGTGGTTAGGTACAAACTGTGACTTGAGCATAGTTTCTGAAGAAACAGTATCCAAGCAATCAGCACAAATACTACAATTGAAGTTTGGTCATCATTTGATTTTCAATTGGGTTAGACAGTTAGTCTTTCCCCTTCATTGGTTGTCTGTGTGCACACGTGCTTACGTTTGTATATGTTTGTCAGCAGTGATCTTATAGCCAGAAGTGAAAATGATTAATATCTCTAGCTATTAGTGTAGCATAAATTCCATTTTTATAGCATATATACCTATATGGATGATATGTAGCTTAATTTCATAATAATATAGAGATCATTTCTGTTTAATGTTGAGTTGTGTGAGGACAACACACACTTGGGCACACGTGGATGACAGAAGTTTTACCCTCAGGCTACTCTGGCCCAAAGAGATTAAGATTCTCCTAATCTAGCATTAACCAGAGATACTTTATTGTTGTAGAACACAGGTATTAAAACATTCTATCTTTATTAATACCCTGGAGGTTAGTAAGGCAAAATTGGCCACAGAAAGCACCATTAGATTTCTGCATCAGAACAGTGTGAATACACAGTTCCTTGAACAAGCCATGCTATTTTATGTCCCTAAGACTTCTTCCATGATCTTTCTCTTTTCTAGAATGTTCTATATGATTCAGTTTAGGTCTTACTTCTTGTACCAAATATTTTAATCACACTGGTTATTGAGTGGACACAATAATACAATCTAATTAGATAGTATGATAGCCTGTTGAAAGCCTCAAGTATTACATTGATTTTCTATTTTTTAATTAGTTTCCATTCTATTTGCTTCTCAGATTGCCTTTACCAAAGATTATTTTCTCTGCAATATTCTTATACTCATTCTTCTTCACTCTTGTGCTGAACCTTACTTGTTGATATGTTATATTGTGAATCAATCCTCCCTATGTCTATGTTTTATATCTTACTGCTTTCTTCATGCGTTCTGGGAGAAATCTTTATTTGATTTTCTAAACAAGGTTCTGTACTTCTCTTTGCTTGCTTTCTTCTTTTTTGTTTTTAAAATTTGGCACCAAGGTTTTGTGTTTCTGAAAAGTTTGGTAGGGTCCTGAGTTGGTAGCTTAATCTTCACCTGCTGATTTTTCTGTCCTATCTAGTAGTTTTCTGCTTATATTTTCATGGAACCCCTAGATCAATCAGTATCACCAGCTGCCACTTTTCATTACAGGCATTGTATAGGTCTCGTATTATTGTTACATTTTTGTACAGGGCTGGTGATAATTTGAGGATAGCTTGGTTGGAAGTATGACAGGGTCGGGGGAATGTGACTGGAAATCTTAAAGACAGGCCTCTTGACCATTGTGGATAAGTGGATCCTGTGCTGTGCAGATGAAGGTCTGGTCTGGCAATTCTGAAGGGTTGGAGGTAATATTACAGGAAGATTTTCTAATCAATGGTGTTTGTTATGGATAACTTTACTTTGGCAAAGTGACCAAAAAATAAATATTTTCTCTGGCATAATTATGGACATATTTTGAAGGTGAAATATATTATGAGTTAGCAATTCTTCTCTATGTGGGAAGCAGAAGAGTTCTAGCTGTGCTTTAGGGTTTTATGGGTGAGAGAGAGTAGTTGTTTGGGCCTACAGACCCAGCTGTGTTACTAGGATTGCTGCCTCTGATTTCACCAGACACTGTTTAACATGGGAAGTGGAGATAAGTAGTTCTGCCTAGGTGGCTTATGGTAGACCATCAGGTAGGAAAGGAAGGTCAGCGAGAAGGAGCAGAGGGGCGTGCCATGCAGACATGATTCACTGTGTGGGTGGCTGAGGAAACTGCAGTCCTGGTGGAAGGCAGGCTTCTCCTTGGCTGGTGAGTGCAGGAAGACAACAGGTGATGCCTGCAAATATCACTCAGCTCAGACCCTTACCCTGACATTCTCCAGTGTAAGCAATGAGAGAAAGAGATTAATGTATCAGGAAATAATAAACATCAGCTATGATCTCACCACACACAACCACAACAGAGGTGACGGAGGAGCTGAAACAGACACTGTCAGTGAGTGAGGGTGGGGTCAAATCGAGAAGCAGGACTGCAGCAGGAGCTTAGGCACTTGTAGGTGAGTGGACACTCTCAGCAATCCACTTGCCTTTTACAACAGATGAAAACTTAACATACCCCTAATATAATTCTTGATTTCTACTTCCTAAAACCTGCTCTCCTTCATACTAATTTGTTATGGCTACCCTAAAAAAATGCCCCACAAGTGGCTTAAACAACAGAAATTTACTTTCTCATAGTTCTGGAGCTTGAAGTACAAGATTAAGGTGTCAACAGGTTTGGTGTCTTCTGAGGCCCTGTCTCCTTCACTTCTAGATGGCCGGTTCTTGCTGTATCTTCACATGGGGTTTTATCTGTAGACGTGCATCCCTGGTACCCCTCTGTGGTCTGTGCTAATGTTCTTTTCTTATGAGGACAGGTGTCAGATGGGATTAGCACCAACCCTATCAGCTTCATTTTAACCTAATCACCTCTTTAAAGGCCATGCTGCAAATAGAGTCACATTCAGTGGTATCGGGGGTAAGGGATTCAACATGAGAGTTTGGAGGGAACACAATTTAGCTGATAACACCTCACAATCTTTTCTCAGTTCATGACATTTGTTTCACTCAACCATTCAAAAACATAAGTGTCACTCTTGATTGTTTAGTCTCCTCCGTGTACTGCCCTTAGCAAATCCAATTGGTTCTACCTTCAAAAGATATCCCATATATGATCAGTTTCATAATCTCTATCAGAAGGTCCTGAGTCAAGCCATGATTCTCCCTCCTGGAGGACTTTCAACAGTCTCCAGCTGATCTTGGTGACATTCCTGCCCCTCACCACATCCCAAGCAGTTCTCCTTACAACAGCCAGAGTGATCTTTTAAAAATAGAATTTAGAACATCAGCAAGATGGCTGACTAGAGTTCCCTGGCACTCATTTCCCCACAAAAAGAAATCAAGAAAACAAACAATTTTATGTCAGCCAGTGTGATTTAAAAAGTATGCTGGAGACCACCAGGGGAACAGAAACACCTCTGTGAAGTACAGAAACTCAATATAGCATCCTGCCTCTGACATACTCTCTCTTCAGTCAAGGTTGGCTCAGGGTCATCAGTAACTCCATTCTACAGGAAAAAGTAAGCTGTAGTTCCCCAGTGGTCCACATTGCCATAAAAAATGTCAACAATCTTTGCCCCACTGTTCTCACTGGCACAAAAACCAGTCTGGAGAGCAGTTGGGATTTCCAAACTGCATTGCCTTACATAGTAAGAGACCACCTTGAGCACCCTCTGCCCCTGCAATGTAAGGTGCTATGGCTCAGTGCCATCTCCAAACTGAACCTACATAGAGAGTGTGTCTTGCTTTGAGCATCAGTAGCACCTGGCTCTCTATCACTTGAGGCCCCACCATCATTCCAACACATTCATACAGGTATCTGCAGCACCATGACCCTAGCTTCCCAGAGCCTAGCCAGATAAACTAATCAAGACCCCGGCATCCGAACCCATGTGGTGCACCACCAATCCAGGGAAGAAGTGAACAGCAGGGAAGCCACCCATCTGCCTACTAGCCACGACACCCACATGCACCCACACCTCACAACCAGCTAGTCTGCTGAGCCTGTGCATGCTGGTGCCCAGCCTGAAAACTGGTCCTGTGGTGGGCCCACCCCCAGGACTACAGCCTGCTTGGGCCACAACAACTCTGAGTTTGTGCATGGTCTAATAATTGGTCCTGCAGTGACCCTGCCTCCTCAGATGGGACTCTGCAGAGATGGATGGCCCTGCTACACCTGTGAGCACTGACAGCAACCCGCCCACCCAGCAGGAAGACAGCAGTGCATGTAAGTGCACACACCTTGAGAAAAGGCTCTTCCCACTGCTGCTGGTGGCACAGTTGCTGCTGTCACCACCGGGGGCTGCAGCAGTGAAATGCCAGTTGGACCCAGCAAAGTGGCAGGATCCTCAGCATTCTAGCATATGCAGTGTTCTGCACCTCAGGCACTGGAAAGGCTGTGAACCAGACATAGGGAGCCAAAGCACATGCTTTCCAGAACCAGAGAGCTGCCTCCCTGTGGCTGCTGACACAGACAGCAATGTCACCCCCGCAACACAGCAGCAGAGATGCTGCACACTTGCATGCAACCTGGGGACAGGCCCTCTCCATCTGCTGCTGAGTCTGCTGATGCAGCTGGGGGCCAGAGCATGTGCCACTGGCAGTGACCTGACTTCCACCAGCAGCAGAGCCACTGTGAACTTGCACGTACCCTGAGGACTGGCTTATGCTGCTGCCAGAAGCCAAAGTGTGCTCCACATTGCCAGAGAGCTGCCTGCTAGTGGCTGCTGCCACTGACAATAACCACACCCTGCCCTAGCAGCACAGCTGCAGCAAATTTGCATGTGCCTCGAGGACAGGCTTTCTTCAGGTATTGCTCCTGCTATTGGGAGATCCAAGGATTACCCCATCCAACTTACCACAGCCAACATCCATGTACATAACTAGGGGGACTGAGGACAGGCCTGCCAAGCCTGGTTCCATCATCCCAGTGCCCAGGCACACTACCCAGGGGTGTGGCAATCATCCTGCTTTGTCCACCACCACTGGCATTTGCACATTCCTTTAGGAGGACTGAGAATGGGCCCAACCAGCCTGACAGTAGCACTGTAGCCAGAAACAATATGCATGCAACATCTGAAGGTCTGGAGACTGGCCCCCAGCCCATCACAACCACCTCTAACACCAGAGCTTGCAACTTGAGAATCTGAGGGTTGTCCAACCAAGCTACAGAAATTGCCCATGGCAAGCACATTCCCAGAGGCCTAAAGGCCCACCCACCCTTTCAGCCTACCATTGCAACTGCTAGTACCCAGGTAAGCTACTTAAAGCCCCCAGAATTGTTCTGCTTAAAGCTGCTAAAACTGGTACAAACATATGTTGCCTAGGTGCCAAATATAGGCACTCTCAGCCCACTGTTACCCCTACTGGGGCCCAAGAACTGGCCCACCTAAAATCTCTGTCCCCAGGAAAACCTCACTACAGCCTCCAATCACAACTACAGCCTAAGCCACTGAGGAAGTCACAGACACCACTTATGCTGTTAATAGCTGAAGGAATAATATAAGACCACCTTACTGTACACACACAGAATCAAAGCCAAAGTGTCCTACTGAATCAACACCACAGATACATCTTCAGAAAGAAAAGTTAATGTTTTGGATCTATGTCACTGCCCAAATCTCATGTTGAATTATAATCTCCAATGTTGGGGGAGGGGCTTCATTGGAGGTAATTGGATCATGGGGGTGGATCCTTCATGAATGGTTTAGCACCATCCCCTGCGTACTATTCTTATGACAATGAGTGAGTTCTCATGAGATTTGCTTGTTTAAAAGTGTGTGTCACCTCCCCCCCACCCAGTCCTTCTCCTGCTATGTAAGATGCCTGCTCCTGCTTTGCCATTTGCCATGAGCAAAAGCTCCCTGAGGCCTCCCCAGAAGCAGATGTCACTATGCTTCCTGTACAACCTATGAAACTGTGAGCCAATTAAACCTCTTTTCTTCATAAATTACCCACTCTCAGGTACTTCTTTATAGCAATGTGAGAATGAACTGATACAGAAAATTGGTACCGAAGAGTAGGGCATTGCTATAAAGATACTAAAAATGTGGAAGCGATTTTGGAGATGGGTAATGAGCAGAGGTTAGAAGAGTTTGGAGGACTCAGAAGACAGGAAGATAAGGGAAAATTTGGAACTTCCTAAAAACTTGTAAATTGTGACCAAAATGCTAATACTGATATGGAAAATGAAGTCTGGGCTGAGGAGATCTCAGATAAAAATAAGGAACTTATTGGGAACAACTGGAGCAGTCACTTTTGTTATGCTTTAGCACAGAGCCTGGGTGCATTGTTCCCCTCCTTTAGGGACTTGTGGAACTTTGAACTTGTGAGTGATGATTTAGGGTATCTGGTGGAAGAAATTTCTAAGCAGCAAAGTGTTCAAAATATGACCTGGCTGCTTCTAACAACCTAAGCTCATATGCCTAAGCAAAGAAATGAGCTAAAACTCAAATTTGTATTAAAAAGGGAAGCAGAGTGTAAAAGTTTGGAAAACTTGCAGCCTGGCCATGTGGTAGAAAAAAAATTCCCATTTTCTAGAGAAGAATTTACCCTAGCTGCAGAAATTTGCATGAGTAAAGAATAACCAAATGTTAACAGCCAAGACAATGGGAGAAAGACATTGAAGGCATTTCAGAGACT
The DNA here is from genome assembly GCF_000001405.40 of Homo sapiens. Lineage (NCBI taxonomy): Eukaryota > Metazoa > Chordata > Mammalia > Primates > Hominidae > Homo > Homo sapiens. Next base: position 54,632 of record NT_187658.1, read on the forward strand.
TTCGTAGCCACACCCACATCACAGGCCTGGAGTCCTAGGAGGGCAGAATGGTTTCCTGGTCCAGGCGCAGGGCCCCACTGACCTGCACAGCCTCCAAACACTGTTTCCTGCATCCCAGCTGCTCCAGCTCCAGCTGTGGCTCAAAGGGGTCCAGCTGCAACTTGGGCTGCTGCTTCAGAGGATGCCAGCCATAAGCTTTGGCAGCTTCCATGTGGTGTTAAGTCTGTGAGTGTGCAGAGTGCAAGAGTTGAGGTTTGGGAGCCTCTCTTTTGATTTCAGAGGATCTACAGAAAAGCCTAAATGTCCAGGCAGAAGCCTGCTGCAGAGGCAGTGCCCTCACAGAGAACCTCTACTAGGGCAGTGCAAAGGGAAAATGTGGAGTTGGAACCCCTACACAGAGTCCCCACTGGGGCACTGCCTAGTGGAGCTGTGAGAAGAGAGCTGTCATCATGCAGACCCCAGAATGACAGATCCTCTGGCAGCTTGCACCATGCACCTGGAAAAGCTGCAGGCACTCAATGTCAGCCCTTGAGAGAAGCTGTGGGAAATGAACCCTGCAAAGCTACAGGGGTGGAACTGAAAAGGCCTTGGGAACCCACCCCTTCCATCAGTATGCCTGGTTGTGAAACATAGAAAGTCAAATGAGGTTATTTTGCAGCTTTAAGATTTAATGACTTCCCTGCTGGTTTCAGATTTGCATGGGGTCTGTAGCCCCTTTCTTTTTACAGCTTTCTCTTTTTTGGAACAGGAGTGTTTACCCAATGCTTGTACTCCCCTTGTATCTTGGAAGTAACTGTTTTTTGAATTTACAGGCTCATAGGTGAAAGAGACTAGCCTTGTCTGAGATCAGCCTTTGGACTTTCGACTTTTGAGCTAATGCTGAAATGATTTAAGACTTTGGGGGACTCTTGGGAAGGCATGATTGTATTTTGAAATGTGAGAAGGACATGAGATTTGGGAGTAGTGATGGGCTGAATGACATGGTTTGGATCTGTGTCCCCACCCAAATCTCATGTTGAATTGTAATCCCCAGTGTTGGGGAAGACTGGCATGTTGGGAGGTGACTGGATCATGAGGGCAGATTCTTCATAACTGGTTTAGTACTATTCTCTCACTGCTGTTCTCATGATGGTGAGTAAGTTCTCATGAGATCTTGTTGTTTAAAAGTGTGTTGCATCTCGCCCCCACTTGGTCCTGATCCTGCCATGTAAGACTCCTGCTCCAGCTTTGCCTTTTGCCACAAGTAAAAGCTCCTTAAGGTTTCCCCAGAAGCATATGCTTCTATGCTTCCTGTACAGCCTGCGGAACCATGAGCCAATTAAACCTTTTTTTGAAAAATAAATTACTCACTCTCAGGTATTTCTTTATAGCAATGTGAGAATGGACTGATACAAAAATCTTCCCCTATGAAAGCCAATTTAAAAAACAGAAGAAGCAACTATTTCACCAGATGCGCAGACATCAATGTAAGGACACAGGAAACATGAAAAAGCAAGAAAATATGACACCTCCAAATCAACACAATACTCCTCCAGCAGTAGATTCCAATGAAAAAGAAATTTATGTAATGTTGGGGAAAATATTTAAAAAATGATACTAATGGAGCTCAGTGAGATAGAAGAGAACACAGGTAAAAAATAGAAAGAAACCAGAAAACCATTTCAGGATATTAAAGAGAAATTCAACAATGAAATGGATATCATAAAAAAGAATCAAACAGAAACGCTGGAGATAAATAAATCAATAAATGAAAGAAAAATACATCTGAAAGCTTCAAAAATAGAATAGGTCAGTGAGAAGAAAGAATATCAGAACTTGAAAACAAATATTTTAAATAACCCAGTCAGACAAAAAAAGAGGGATAAAATGTGAAAAAGATGAACAAATCCTACATGACATATGGGATGCCATAAAGCAACCAAATTTTTGAATTTGGGTTTTTCCCAAAGGCAAAATGAAAGGCAAAAACATAAAAAACCTATATAATGAAATAATAGAAGAAAACCTCTCAAGTCTAGCAAGAGAGTTAAACACCTAGATACAGGAAGCTTAGATAGATACAACCCAAAAATATTTTCTTCATGTCACATTATACTCAAACTGTCAAAAGTCAAAGAGAAAAACACTATAGAAGTGGCAGAGCAATATGGTGGAATAGAAGGCTCCACCAATCATCCCACCCACAGGAACACCAAATTTAACAACTGCCTACATAATCAAAGCACTTCCATAAGAACCAAAAATCAGGTGATCACTCAAAGTACCTGCTTTTAACTTCATATTACTGAAAGAGGTACTGAAGAGGGTAGGAAAGACAGTCTTGAATTGCCATCGCCACCCTTGTCTTAACCCAGCAGCAACTACATAGAATGGAGAATCTGTAGACTTGGGGAGGGAAAGTGTGGTGATTTTGAAACTTCGCATTGAAATCAGTGCTGCCTTGTGACAATGGAAGGCAAAACCGGGGTGAACTCAGCTGATGTCCACCCACAGAGGGAGCATATAGACCAGCCCTAGCCAGAAGAGAACTGTACATTCCAGCAGCCAGAACTTGAGTTCTGGCAAGCCTTGTCACTGTAGGCTAAAGTAGTCTGGGTCTCTAAATAAATTTGAAAGGCAGTCTAGGCCACAAGGACTACAAATCCTAGGTGAGTCCTAGTGCTCAGCTGGGCTCAGGGCAAGTAGACTGGTGGGGGCGGTGGGTACATGACCTACTGAAACATCAGCTGGGGTGGCTAAAGCAGTACTTGGGCCATCCCTCCCTCAACCCCCAGCTACACAGCTTATGGCTCCAAAAGAGACCACTTCCTTCCACATGAGGAGAGGAGAAGGAAGAGTGAGGAGGACTTTGTCTGGCATCTTGGATACCAGCTTAGCCTCAGTAGGATAGAGCTCTGGTCAGAGTCATGAAGCCCTGATTTCAGACTCTAGCTCCCAGATGACATTTCTAGACACACACTGGGCTGGAAGGAAACCTACTGCATTGAAAGGAAGAGCCAAGTAATGAAAGAACCAATCACCTGCTGATTAAAGAGCACTTGGGCCTTGAATAACAAGCGGTGATATCCAGGTAGTATGCTGTGGGCCTTGAGTGAGACTCTGAGATGTGCTGGTTTCCAGTGAGACCCAACACATTCCTAGCTGTGGTGGGTATGGTCAGAGATTCCTCCTGCCTGAGAAAAGCAGAGAGAAAAAGTAAAGGGGACTTTGTCTTGAACCTTAGGTACCAGGTCAGCCACAGAGAAGTATAACACCAAGTGGGCTCTTGAGGTCCCCAATTCCAGGCCCTGGCTCTTGGACAGCATTTATGGACCTGCTCTGGTCCAGACGGGGAGCCCACCACTATAAAAGGTGAGTCCTAGATCTGGCAGCATTATTCACCACAGGCTGAATGAAGAGCCCTTGGTCCTTAAGTGAGCATCAGTGGTAGCCTGAGAATATTCCCATAGGCTTGTGGTGATGGTGGCCAGGGGGCAAGGTGCCTGCATATGAAAAGGGAAGATTAGAATGGGAAGAATTGCATCTACTGGTTTGAGTGCCAGCTTAACAGCAGTACAATAGAACACAAGGTAAATTTCCAAAGTTTTGGACTCTGGTCCGTGGCTCCTGGACAGCATTTTTGGACCTGCCTGGAGCTAAGGGATCTTGCTGCTATGAAGAGAAGCACATAAGCCTATCCGTAAGCCCCAAAGCAGTACTAAGAAGGAAGATTATTGCTATATGTGCCTACATCAAAAAATAAAAAAACTTCACATAAACAATCTAATGATGCATCTTAAAGAACTAGAAAAGCAAGAGCAAACCAAACCCGAAATTAGTAGAAAAAAGAAATAAAGACTAGAGCATAAATAAATGAAATTAAAATTAAAAAATACAACAGAAGAATGAAACAAAAAGTTTGTTTTTTGAGAAGATGAACAAAATTGACAAACCTTTTGACAGACTAACCAGGAAAACAAGAGAGAAAACCCAAATAAATAAAATTAGAGATGAAAAAGGAGATATTACAACCTACACCACAGAAATTCAGGGGATTATTAGAGACTACTGTGAGCAACTATATGCTAATAAATTGAAGAAACTGATAAATTCCTAGACAAATGTAACCTGCCAAGATTGAACTATACAGAAATCCAAAAACCTGAATAGACAAATAACAAGTGATGAGATCAAAGCCATAATAAAAACTGTCCTAGCAAACAAAAGACCAGGACCTGATGACTTCAATGCTAAATTTTACCAAATATCTAAAGAAGAACTAATACTGATCCTTCTCAAACTATTCTGAAAAATAGAAAGGGAAGGAATACTTTCAAACTCATTTGGTGAGGTGAATATTACCCTAATATGAAAACTAGACAAAGACACATTAAAAAAAATACAGGCCAATATTTTGGATGAACATTGATACAAAAATTCTCAACAAAATGCTAGCAAACAGAATGCAACAGCCCATTAAAAATACAATTCATCATTACTATGTGGCATTTATCCCATGGATGCAAGAATAATTCAACATGTGCAAACCAATGAATGTTGATAAATCATATAAACAGAAGGAAGGACAAAACTAATATGCATTGCAATAGATAATGAAAATCATTTGATAAAATTCAACATTCCATCATGATAAAAATCATCAAAAACTGGGCATAGAAGGAAAATGCATCAACATTATTAAAACCATATATGACAGACCCACACCTAATATCATACTGAATGGGGAAAAACTGAAAGCTTTCCTCTAAGATCTGGAACATGACAAGGATGCTCACTGTCATCATTGTTATTCAGCATAGTACTGGAAGTTCTAACTACAGCAATCAGATGAAAGAAAAGAGAACGGAAGGGAAGGGAAGGGAAGGGAAGGGAAAGGGAGGGAAGGGGAGGGAAGGGGAGGGGAGGGCAGGGGAGGGCAGGGGAGGGGAGGGGAGGGGAGGGGAGGGGAGGGGAGGGAAAAGAAAAGAGAGCATCCAAAATGGAAAGGAAGGAGTCAAATTATCTTTGTTTGCAGATGATGAAACTTTATGTTTGGAAAAAAATAAAGACTCCACAAAAATGTATTAGAACTGATAGAAACATTCAGTAAAATTTCAGGATACAAAATCAACATACAAAATTCAGTAACATTTTTATATGCCCACAGGGAACAGTCTGAAAAAGATCAAGAAAGTATTCTTATTTACAATAGCTACAAGTAAGATAAAATACCTAGGAATTAACCAAAGAAGTGAAAGATGAAAAGTATAAAAGTATAAAACATTGGTGCAAGAAATTGAAGATAACACACTAAAATGGAAAGACATTCTATGTTCACGGATTGGAAGAATCAGTTTTGTTAAAATGTCCATACTACCCAAAGCACTCTGCAGATTCAATGCAATCCCTATCAAAGTATCAATGACATTCTTCACAGAAACAGAAAATACAATTCTAAAATTCATATGGTACCACAAAAGACTCAGAATAGCCAAAGCTGTCCTAAGCAAAAAGAACAAATTTGGAGGAATCACATTACCTGACTTTAAATTGTCTTAAATACTACAGAACTATGGTAACCAAAATGGCATGACACTGGCATAGAAACAGACATGTTTGGACTGTGAGCCTGGCCTCTATGAACCATCGTTTCAGCTCCTGATTGGTCCAGAGCCAAGGCCCTGGGCCAAGCTGAGTCACAAGTTCTCCAAGACAGCCCATGGACTAAGTGCATTCCTTCCCCTTCCCAGTCCATAAACACCCTGGACCCCAGCCTCATAGAGGGCAATCCATTTGGGTCCCTCTTTCCGCTGGCAGAGAGCTTTCTTCTTTTGTTTGTTAAACTTATGCTTTAACCTCACATTGTGTCTGTGCTTCTCAATCATCTTGGACGTAGGACAAAGAACTTCAGATATTATCTCAGACAATAAGAGACTGCTATCTGGGTCCGTTGGCAAAACTACAACATTACAACAAGAAAACTTTGGGGAAACTCTCCAGAACACCATAGTGGGCAAAGATTTCTTGAGTAATACCTCACAAGCACTGGCAACTAAAGCAAAATTAAAATTAAAAAAAAACTTCAAAGATAAAAATTATTAAAAAGAGAAAAGCATCCAGTCATATGTAAGGGAACTATCACCAGATCAAAAGAGAATTTATCAACAGAAAGTTTATAGGCTAGGAGAGAATAGTATGGAATATTCAAAGTTCTGGAAGAAACACTTTCAGTCATACATACTATACTCAGAAATGTTATCCTTCATAAATAAAGAGGAAATAAAATCTTTCACAGATAAGCAAAAGCTTTAGACTAACCTTACAACAAGTGCTCAAGGGAGTTCTACATCTAGAAGCAAACAGATGATAATCACTATTTTGAAAATACATAAATACTCACTGTTAGAGAAGACACACAAAGAATAAAGAGAATCAAGCCTTATTATTTCAGAAAACTAAAAGAAATGATAAACAATAAGAGAGGAAGAAAGGAAGAAAGGGACATATAAAACAACCAGGAAACAATGAGCAATATAGAAAAACCAAAACCTCACATGTGAATAATAACCCTGAGGTAAACAAATTAAATTCCCCATTTAAAAGATATATAAGTCATATAAAAGGGAACCTCCATTAGATTAACAACGAATTTGTCAGAAGAAACCTTACAGGCCAGGAGAGAATGAGATGACATATTCAAAGTATTGAAACAAAAAAAATCTTATCAGCCAAGAATACTATTTCCAGCAAAGCTATTCTTCAAAAATGAAGTAGAAATAATGGCGTTCCTAAACAAGAAAAACTGGAAATTCATCACTACTACACTGGTCCTACAAGAAATCCTGAAGGAAATTCTATACTTTAAAGCAAAAAGACAATATGGTCCATCACAAAAACACACACAAGTATAAAACTCACTGGTAAACCAAATACACAAATGAAAAAGAGAAAGGATTCAAATTTTACCACTACATAAAATCAACAAATGACAATTATAAACAATAAAAAATATAGAAAGGTAAAAGGACATATGAAATAACCAGAAAACAATTAATAAAATGACAAGAATAAATCCTCCGGTAGTAATAAGCTTGATGGTAAATGAACTAAAATTTTCAGTTTAAAGATATAGACTGGCTTAATGGATTTTAAAAAGCGTGACACAAGTATATGCTGCCAATAATAAAGTAAATTTCTCTGTAAAGACACATGGACTTAAAGTGAAGGGATGAAAAATGATATTCTATGCAAATAGAAACAAAAAGTGAGAAGTACTATACTTGTATCAGATAAAACAGATTTTAATTTTTAATTTGCAAACAGCAAAAAGACACAAAAAAGGTCATCATGTAAGATAAAGGGATCAATTCAGCAAGAGGGATAATACAATTCTAAATATTCAAACAACACTGGAGCACCCAGATATATAAGGCAAATATTATTAGACATAAAGGGGGAGATAGATTCCAACAGAATAATAGTGAGGGACTTCAATGCCCCATTCTCAGCCTTAGACACATAATCCAGAGTGAAAATTAAGAAATAAACATTGGATTTTAACTGCACTTTAGACATGTCTCAAAAAAAAGTATACGAATGTCCAGTAGGTATATAAAAAATGCTCAACATCACTCATCATCAGGGAAATGCAAATTAAAAACACAATATCATCCTTCTCCAGTTAGAATGGGTATTATTAAAAAGAAAAAAAAAACAGATGCTGGTGAGGATTCAAGGAAAAACTCTTACATACCGTTGGTGGGAATGTAAATTAGTACAGTCACTATGGAAACAATATGGAGATTTCTCAAAATAACTAAAAATGGAATGACCATATGATCCAGCAATTTCACTTCTGGCTATTTATCCAAAGAAACAGAAATGAGGACATCAAAGGGATACCTATATTCAAATGTTGACTGCAGCACTATTCACCATAGCAAAGATATGGAATCAACCTAAGTGTCCGTCAGTGGACAAATGGATTAAAAAAAAACAGTGGTATATATACACAATGTAATACTATTCAGCCATAAAAAAAGAATAAAATCATGTAATTTGTAGCAACATGGATGGAACTGGAGGGCATTATGTTAAGGGAAATAAGCCAGGCACAGAAAAACAAACAGTGCATGTTCTCACTTATGTTGATCACACAGAGGTAGAGAATAGAATAATGGCTACAAGAGATGGACCAGTGTTTGTGAGGCAGGAGGACAAGTATGAAGAGAGGTTCATTAATGGGTTCAAACATACAGTTAGAAGGAATAAATTCAAATATTTGATAACAGATTAGGGTGACTATGTTTAACAATATTTCAAAATAGCTAGAAGAAAGGACTTGAACAGTTCCCCAAACATAGAAATGATAAATACTCAAGATGACAGATACCCTAACTTGATCATTATACATTCTATATGCTTATAACAAAATATCATGTGTCCCATAAATATGTACAAACATTATGTATCAATTTTTAAAAATCAGGATTGATAGCTTTACTGCTGAATTCTACCAGACATTTAAAGAGGAATTGATACTAATTATCCTGAAACAATTCCAGATATTGCAGAGGAAGTAATACTTCCAAACGCATTTTACAAAGCCAGCATTACCCTGATTCCAAAACCAAAGATACAACAAATAAAAAAGCCACAAGCCAACATCCCTGATGAATATCAATGCAAAAATTCAACAAGATTTTAGCAAAGTGAACGCAGCAGCACATGAAAACGATCATTCACTATGATCAAGTGGGTTTTATTCAACATATACAAATCAATAAATGTGATGCACCCTATTAACAAAATGAAGGACAAAGGCCATATGATCATCTCTATAGACACAGAGAAAGTATTTTATAAAATTCAATATCCCTGCATAAGAAAAGCTCACAAGAAATTAGACACACAAGATATGTACCTCAACACAAAAAGGCCATATATGACAAACCCACAAGTAACATCATGCAGAATAAGGAAAGGTGAAAGATTTCCTCTAAGATTAGGATAAAGATAAGGATGTTCACTTTCATCACTCCTATTCAACATAGTATTAAAAGTATTAGCTAGATATACTAGGCAAGAGATAGAAACTAAACAAATTGAAATTGAATAGAAGGAAGTCAATTGTTCATCTTTTCGGATGACATGATCTTATTTATAGAAAACTCTAAAGACTTCAACAAAAAACTGTTAGAATAAATCTGGTAAAGTTGCAGAATAGAAAATCAATGTACAAAAATTAGTAGCATTTCTGTATGCTAATGGTGAACTATATGAAAAATAATTCAGAAAACAATTTCATTTACAATAACCAAAAAAGAATAAAATACTTAGGAATAAACTTAACCAAGGAGATAAAAGATCTCTAATACTGCAAACTATGAAACATTGATAAAAGAAATTGAAAAAGATGCAAATAAATGAAAAGATACTCTATGTTTATGGATTGGAACAATTAATATTGTGGAAGTGGCCATACTAATCAAAATGATCTTCAGATTTAATGCAATCCCAAACAAAATACCAATCAGCATACTTCACAGAAATAAAAAAAGCACACACATATTTTCCGTCTTTGAGTAATGTATGCTCTGAAAGGGGAAAAAGGCATTGAGATACAAAAGCACATTATAAGATAGAAAGCTCTATGTGCCATTTCCTGTCATTTACCTTGATATTAGATCCAGGAAACTCTCTCTATTTTTAGGCCAAATTATTAGCAAACTTAATTGCCCTTCGCCATGTAATTTAACATAAAACACAGGTTCTGGGAATTAAGATGTAAACATCTTTGTGAGGCCTATATTTTCCTCCTGCAGAGAGAACAGGTAATCTTACATCTCTCAAATTTGTTTCAGTTGTGTATGGAGACAGCTATCCCTGATTTGGTAATGTTTAAACTAGACTTTTGCAAAAGGATATGTATGAGTTTATATAAAATTTGATAGTATTGCATGTATTTATACTGTGCAATATGTATATGCAATAGTTTAAGTGACAAAACTAAGTGGTACAAATTTACCTTGAGGTTGGCTGCATTTGTAAGTTGGGGCAGTCACTTCTTTGGAGTGTTGTGCAGACTTGGGAATGAGAAGCTGTAGATTTCATTCTAACTCTGCCACTTACAGCAGGACAACCACTTGCAAAGCCCAGCTTTCTCTATTAAAATAAGACCCTAAATCTTCCCAACACCAATAATGAAGATGACATTCTCAGATCAGGAAAATGAAGGGTTCTTCAGAAGGATCATCACTGTGTCAGGGGCAGCAACTGGAGATCTGAACAAAATAGCTACCTGGGCATCCAATCCCTCTACTGTGAAATGCATGATTCTCCAGACCTTTTCCAACACGCATAGAGCTTTCTGATCGTTTTAGTGCCTACTCTTAAGTATGAATTGAATCAAAGGTTGACCAGACAATTGAAGAAATTCTCCATCAAATGAGACTCAAAGAATCAGAACAAAGTGTAATTCTGAAGGAAAAGAGGTAAGATAAACAGCAGAAGAAACGTTTACAAGACTATAATTAATATATTCTGATATAACCATAAAACATAAAAGGATGCTATCAAATAGAAGATTGACCAGAGAACACAAAAGAATATGAGCAATTGTAAATTAAATTGATAAGTTCAATAAAATGTAAAGTTAAGGAAATCCCCTATGAGGTAGGGCAAAAAGGCAAAGATATGGTCCATAATGTGAAGACAATTAAAAAATTCACCCAACATGAATTTTAGAAAAAGAAAACAGAGTATATATTGGGAAAGACATTATCAATTAAATACTGCCATACATTACCCAGAACTTATGGATAATTCTCTCCATAATGAAAAAAGCCATTGATTATCTAAAAGACCAGATTTAACATTTTCAGGCCCCAGTGCAGGAAGACAAATGGAGGCTCACATACTCTATCTCTGAATAACCATACATTATAAAGTAAAATCGACCCTAGGTTCAGGTTAGGTTTCCATCCAAGTCCTGAAGCCTGTCCCTTGGAGACTGCCCTTCTAACCTGGCCTAGAGACAGAAGAATCATGTGTTTCCCTGCACCAACACTGACTGATCCTGCAAGCTGAGAGGTGGGAAAATACGGAGTGGCAGGGCTGTCTGCTGGAGCAGTGGGCAGGAGCTGAGATGAGGCCCAGCACTGACCTGGCCAAGAGACAGAAGAATCATGTGTTTCCCTGCACCAACCCTGACTGATCCTGCAAGCTGAGAGGTGGGAAAGTATGGAGAGCCTCTAATGAGTTTTCAGTTCAGCAAATCTAGTTACCAGTCCCCAGATTTCTGTTTGATTTTTCAAAATTATTTCAATCTCTGTTAAAATTCTCTGATAAATCAATAAATTGCTTTCCTATGCTATCTTGCAGATATCTGATTTCCTTAAAATTGTTATTTTGAATTCTTGATCAGAGAGCTAACCAACTGTCATGTCATTGGGGTCAGTAACTAGTTTGGTACCTTTGTCCTTTTGGGAAGGCCATGGCTCTTTGCTTGCTGTTGTTTCCTGTGGGTATACTTCTATGTCTTTCCATAGAAGGGTTATTAATTAATTCCAGTTTTTCAGGTCTGGGTTGTGTTTGTTGTTATTGAGTCTATTTGCTTGGCAAATCCTCACTGCTGGGCTGTTGCCTCCCTTTTGACTCTAGGTGGTGTCTCAACCTCACTTTTACCTTGTCTTTAGTAAACGGTTGGAGTATTAACTGTCCGAAATGGGAAATGTCCCAAAGGAATTACCCTGGAAGTATGAGAAACTTGGCTAGGGGTTATGGTCTGGTGACCTAAGGAATGTACCTCCTAAAGCATGGTGCTATTGAACATCTACCCTGATTTGGCTTCTCCTTTGGCCAAGTTATGAACAGTGTCCAGAACTGGAGATGATCTTCCCTCCTCCCTATTTTGTCTCTTGCTCTCTTCAGGAATATTCCTCCCTGAGGACAGAGAATATTCATCTTCCCTAAGGGAGTCATAATGCATCTCATGGGCTAAGGAAGAACAAGTTTCTTGCCAGGGAATCCAAGGTGGTAAATAATCTGTTTGAGAACATCAATTTCACTTTATTCACTCTAAAATCCATGAATTGGGGGAGATTCTCTGCATGTGTGGTGCCAGGAAGAATAGGAAGGAGGGACATCATGGAGGTGGAAGTCCCATCTCCTACTGTCTTCTTGATGATTTTCCACTTCTCTTTGGCCCTGAGAACCATCTCATTTTCATACTTGAGCTATGTATTTTTCCTGACATAGATCTCAAAGCTCTATATTTGTTTTTGGTATTCTGTTTGTTGGGGTAGTAAGTCAGCTTGCCTCTACAGCAACACTTTGGAACTAGTGGGTAGCTATTTTGTTGAGACAACCATATGCTATCTCTGAAACCACACTGACCCTTCAGAAAATTCCTCCCTCTTCCTGACCTGCAAGAATAATAATCACTGCCGACACTTTGGAGCTGGTCTGGGTTCATCCCATTCCATCCAGCACTGCTGGCACCCATGTACTTCTCTGATGGGTCTGAGGACAAACCTACACAGCCTGTGCCAAGACCATTGCCAGTACGTACCTGCATGTGACACCTTGGATTCTTAGGACTGGCCTACATAGGCCATTGCCATCACCATTACCACCAGCACATTCAACCTGGAAGCCTGAGGGTTGTCTTGCTACTGCTATTGCTATCACCCATGCCAGGCACATTGCACAAAGTCTCAAGAACCACTCACTCACCAGGCCCACCACTGCAACTTCCAGCACCACAGGAAACTCCCTGGAGGTACAATAATTTACCCAACTGAAACTGTGGATATTGGTGTCAATGTTTGTTGTCTGGAGGCTCAAAGACCGGCATGCTCATTCCACTGCTGCCACTAACATGTGTTGCAGACTGGCCCATCTAGTACCCCTGTTCCCATCAAAACCTCACAAAAACTTTTACTAACAACCTCAGTCTTAGCAACTGAGGAAATCACAGACCACTGATCCCGACTAGAGACAAAGAAACCATACAGATATTATGCTAGTGTATACACCCAGAATCAAAGCTAAAGTGCTGTATGCAACCAACACTACAGATATATCTATAGAAAAAATAGTGTTCCCCTATGAAAGCCAATCAAGAAGAGGCTGTTACTCCAGACGTGCATATACTAATATAGGGACTCAATAAACATGAAGATGCTAGAAAACATGACACCCCTACAGGACCACAATTATTCTTCAGCAGGAGATTGCAACAAAAATAAAATCTATGAACTTCTAAAAAATTCATAAATATGATATCATAGAAGCTTAGTTAAATATAATAGAGCAAAGATAATCAATACAAAAATCTGAAAAAAATCAGAATATGAATAAGAAATTCACCAGATACCTAGATGTCATGAGAAAGACCAAACAGATATCTTGGTAGTAAAGAATTCAATGAATAAAGTAAAAAAAAAAAAATATTTTCAAAAGCTTCAACGATAGACTAGGTAAGGCAGAAGAAAAAAATTCACCACTTGAGGACTAGATTTCTGAAATAAACCAGATAGAAAATATAATAAATCATCTAAATAAAGCCAGTATTCAATATAACATACCATGTAGTTACCAAAGGTTTGATTCTGAGTATTCCAGAATACTCAAGAAGAAGAGATGGGCAGAGGCATGACAAAAATTTTAAACTAAGCACATGTACCCTAAAACTTAAAGTATAATAATAATAAAATAAAATAAAAAAAGAAAAAAAAATAATAGCTGAAAATTTGTCAAGTCAAGTCTAGCAAGAGATTTAGACATTCAAATAGAGGACCTCAATGATACTCAAATTGACACAACCCCAGAAGTCCTTCTCCAAGGCATACAGTGGTCAAACTGTCAAAAGCCAAAAGTCGTTAATTCTAAAAACAGTAAGATAAAAGCATCGAGTCATGATAATGGAACCCTCATCAGATTAACAGTGATTTTCACTGTATAAACTGTGAAAGAGAGATAAAATCATATATTTAAAGTGTTCAAAGAAAAAAAATCTGCCAGCCAAGAGCACTATCTTCAGCACAGGCGAACTTCAAAATGAAGTAACAATAAAGTTTTTCCCTGAAAAGCAAAAACAGAGAATTCATCACCACAATGACTGCCCCACAAGATATGCTTAAGGGAATTCTGCTCCTGAAAGCAAAAGTACAATATCTACCGTCATGAAAACACAAAAAATTTAAAATACTCCCTAGTACAGCAGACAAATGAAGACTTGAAATGATTTAAATTTTACTATTATAGAAAAATACTAAACCACAATAATAAAAAGTGAGAGAAAAAGAAACAAAGTATATGTAAAACAAACAAAAACAAATAACAAAATGAAGTAATTTCTCACATATGAATAATAATCTTGATTGAAAATTGATTAAATTCTCCACTTGAAAGACATAGACTGGCTGAGTGAATTTTTAAAAAATATCCTAACTATATGCTGCTTACAAGAAACTGACTTCACCTAATAAGACACATATAGACTGAAAATGAAGGGATAGAAGAAAATATCCCATGTAAACAGAAACAAAAACAAGTCGAAATAGGTATATTAACATCAGATAAAATAGACTCTATGTCAAAAACAGTAATGAGAGAAAAAGAAGGTTATTATTTAAGAATAGAAAGATCAATTTAGCATGAGGATATAACAAAACTAAATATATTCCCCCAACACTAGAGTATACCTAGATACATAAAGCTATCATTATGACATCTAAAAGGATAAATAGATTCCAATACAATAGTAGTGTAAACTTTAACACCTGACTCTCAGCATTAAACAGATTATTTAGACAGAAAATCTACAAAGAAATATTGGACTTAATCTTAAGAATAAGGGGACCCAATATACATTATAGACATTTTTATTTAACAGTGGCAAAACATACCATTTTTCTTATTAGCCTGTGGAAGATTTTCTAATACAGACCGTATGTTAGGCCACAAAACAAGTCTCAGTACATTTTGAAAAAGCAGTATACTTTATTTTCATATACCACAATGGATAAAACTAAAAATCAATATTAAGAGGAACTTTGGAAATTGTAAGAATACATGGAAATTAAACAACATGCTCCTGAGCAACCACTGGTTCAATGAAGAAATTTAGAAGAAAATTAAAATGTTTTTGAAATATGACAATGTAAACACAACATACAGCACAAATAGTGCTAAGAGGGGAGATGCTCTGAATAAATTCTTTCATCCAAAAGTAGAGAGATTTCAATTAAACAACCCAGTGATCCACCTGAGGGAACTAGAAAACTAAAAACAAACTGAACCCCAAATTAGTGAAAGGAAAAATATAGTAAAAATAAGAGCAGAACCAAACAACTAGAAACTAAAAAAAAACAAACCCAAACTCAATGTAATGAAAAGTTGGTTTATTGAAACAATAAATAAAATTCCTAAGTGTCTAGCTAGGCTATACTATATATGTGTGTGTATATATATATATACACACACACACACGTATATATATATATGCTATACTATATATATAGTATAGATATTGTGTATCTATACATATATAAAAATATATATATAGACAGAAAAAACTGAATGAAACAAAATCAGAAACTAAAAAGAAGATATTACAACTTATATCATAGAAATACAACTGTATATTTTGGACAATAATACACTAATGAAACCGTATGTTTTGAACAAGTATACACTATAATTGAACACCATGGAAAAAGATTAATTCCCTGACATATACAACTCACACAAAATGAGCCAGGAAAGAAGGGTAAACCTGAACAGACTAATAATGAGTAAAGAAATAGAATCAGTAATAAAAACGAAATCTCCCAACAAAGCAAAGTCCAGGCCTAGATGGTTTCACTGATGAATTCTACCAAACTTATAAGGAAAAAGGAAAAGCATTCCTCATCAAACAATTCCAACAAATTCAGAGAAGAGAATACTTCCTAACTAATTTTACAATGCCAGGAATACCCCAATGCTAAAAACATACACGAACACAACAACAATAACTATAACAAAAATTAGAGGTCAGTATTTCTGATGAACACAGACACAAAAATCCTCAAGAAAATGTTAGCAAACCAAATCTAAGAACACATCAGAAAGATAATTAGCAATAATCAAGTGGTATTTATCCCAGGGATGCAAGAATGGTTCAGCATACATGAATCGATAAATGTGGTACATCACATTAACAGAATAAAGACAAAACCAAATAAGCATATGAATAGATGTAGGAAAAAGCATTTGATAAAAGTTAGCATCCATTTATGATAAAAGTTCCCAACGAACTACACAAAGAAGGAATATACCTCTATATAATGTAACCACATGTGACGAACTCACACCTAACATACAGAATGGGGAAAACTGAAAGCCATTTCTCTAAAAACTGAAATAAGACACCACTCAGTCAACATTTTACTTTATGTCATGTCCTAGCGAGAAGAATCAGGCAAGCAAAAAAAATAAAAGCCATCCAAATTGGAAAAGAGGAAGTTAAATTGTTCCTGTTTGCAGACGACATAGTCTTATATTAGGAAAAACACACTGGGGCCTTTCAGAGGGTAGAGGGTGGAAGGAGAAAGAGGATCAAGAAAAATAACTAATGGTACTAGGCTTGATACCTGGGTGATGAAATAATCTGTACGACAAACCCCCATGACACAAGTTTACCTATGTGACAAACATACAGTTGTACGTCTGAACTTAGAATAAAAGTTAAAAAAATTGTTAACATAAAAAAAGAAAAATCTAAACTCCACCAAAAAAATTTAGGACTATTCAATAACATTGCAGGATAAAATATCAATATGCAAAAATTAGTAGCATTTCTATATACTAGCAATAACCCAGCAGGAATGAAAAATCAGCTATGAAATTCCCTTTACAAAGCTATAAAAAATTAATTACTCAGTAATACATTTAAGCAAGCAGACTGATGTTTACCAGCTATATGACTGAAAATGTCAGGCAATCATATTGAGCTTTTGTTTTTTCATCTGAAGAGTAAACATAATGCAAGGAATTATTAAAGGGCTACCATAGGAATAAAAGAGCTAATGGTATAAAACATTATTAGTATTATTAGTATTGCATAGTATCTATGCAATAGTGTAAGTCAGAAACTGAAATGGCAGAAATCTACTTTTAATAACCATTTACATTTAATGTAATTATTGGTATTTTTGAGCCATTTTTGTTTTTCATATTTATACTACTTTTGATTGTTTTTCTTTTTCCTGATCTATGGATTCCTTGAAAATGTTTTTTGATTCCATTTTAGTTGATCTGTAAATTTTTTGCGTGACTCTCTGTACAGCATTGTTAGTGGTTGCTCCGTGTTACATTATGCATACATAGCTTTTCACAGCCTAGTGCTGTGCACATTTTACCCTATTCAGTAAAATATGGAAACCTTGCTTTCCTGTCTTTTTAACTGCTCCCCCTTTCCCACTGTTTGTAACAGAATCATATTAAATATATGTCTATGTGCATTTAGTGCCACAGTAAATTTTGTCATTTTTGCTTTGACATAAATTTATTGTCTTCCAGGTTTGCAGCTCAGAAATCTGAACTGGGTCTCACTGCGTTAAATCCATGTCTCAAGGCTGAGTTCCTTCCTGGAGTCTCTAGAAGAAAAGCTCATTATCTTGCCACATTCCTTGGCCCTCTTCCATCTTTAAAGCTAGCAATGGCCAGTTGAGCCATTTGAAACTCATGCAGAAAACGTGAGAAGAAAGATATTTTGTGTTTACCTACTTTGTATTTCCAATTTTTGTTTTTGGCTTGTTGTCATTGTTGTTGTTGTTGCTCATTCTTGTTGTTGTTGCTCATTCTTGATGTTCCAGAAAAATCCTATTCTATTTTTTCCTTTATGATTAGTGACCTTCATAGAACCATTTTATAAGATAGGTCTGTTGGAAAGAAATTCTCTTAGATTTTTTTTTCTGTCTTCTAAGAATGCCTGTATTTTCTCTTTATTGATGAGTAGTTATATTGGACATAAACATCTGGTTGACATTTTTTTTCTTTCAGCACTTTGAATATTTTAGCTACATCCTATTGGTTATTCTGCTCTCTGGTAATAACACCACTGTTACTCACATTGTGTTTTCCCTATAGCTATGGTGTCATTTGTTTCTTGCTGCTTTCAAAACATTTTTTTTAGTTTTTAGAAATTTGACTACAGTGTTGCTTGCATGGATTTTCTTGGGTATATTCTGGTTGGCAGTTGCTCATCTTCTTGCATCTGTAGGTTTATGCCCATTGCAAGTTTGGAGAATTTTCAGCCATTATGTCTTTGAGTTCTCTCTCAATAGCATCCTCATTGTTCTTCCCTTCTGAAGCTCAGATTTTATCATTATCACATTATTTGTTATAACCTTTCTTGTTCATAACAGTATTTAAAATTTTACCCTGTGTTCGAGTATACAGTTTCTATTAATCCAGCCTCAAGAATACTGACTCTTTCCTCCATCATTTCCTTTCTGTTAGTGATCACACCAAATAATATTTTATTTAATTTTTTACACTACATATCTCAGTATCAAAATTTCTATGTCATTATATTATATAGTTTCTTTTTTCTGCTGGGAATTTTTTTTCCATTTAAATTGAGAGTGTACACATTGACCTCATAATGGATGTTTGTAACACCTGCTTCAGTGAGATTGAAAATCTCACCGTTTTAATATCCAGATTGTTTCAAGGTTATCATCTCTTGATTATTTAACTCCTTGAGAATTGGTCGATTGTTTCTGATTTTATAAAGTATGTTGAGTAATTTTCTATTTTATCCCACACACAGGACTTTCTCTGTTTACAGTACACAATAAGTTCAATGAAGGAAGTTTTGGACATTGGAGGGTAGAGGCCTTCTTGCTTAATTGAGATCCACTCACTGGTTCAGATAGCAGGGGATTTTGTCCCACTAACATTTTTCTACTTGGAGCTTCTGCCTGGATGATCCTTTATGGCTCTTACGAGATAAAACTATAAGTATATTTAACATCATAGCATACATAGTGTGCACTGAAGGGGTCCCAAAAAATTCCTATTCACAAAGTCTTTTTTAGTTTTCTTTTGTGCATCATTTGCTCAAATCTCAATTGAATTTGAGGACTTCATTTTCCTTTCTTCCCTACAGTAACAACACAGTTTAACACCTGCTTAATTAGAGTCTATTACAGTACCCGGGTAGGCCTGCTGTCTTCTGACTGGGGATTTATAGAAAGTGGATAATACGGCTGAGGTAAAATCAACGACTACAGGCCTGGCGAAATGGCTCATGCCTGTAATCCAACTACTTTCAAGGGCAGAAGTGGGAGAATTCCTTGACACAAGGAATTTGAGATATGCTTGGGCAACATAGTAAGACCCAGTCTTTATAAAAAAATTACAAAAGGATCCTGGCTCGGTGGTTTGCACCTGTAGACTCAGCTATTTGGGAGGGTGAGCTGGGAGTATAGATTGAGCCTGGGAGAGCAAGGCTACTGTGAGCCATGATTACGCCACTGCACTCCAGCCTAAGAGAGAGAGCAAGTCAAAGTCTGAAAAAACAACAATGAAAACCACCCAAAAAACAAAAAAGACTAGGGCCACCAAAAAGGCTTTCTTTTTCACTTGACTTCTTGCTCCAGGGTTTACCTTTTTAAAGTGCACCTCCCAGTGTCTAGGGAGTCTACAGACTTGGAGTCTCTTCCTTTCTTGCCTCGGTATCACAAGTGGCTCCATCCTATATCCTTCAGCACTCCTTCCCCATTTCCCACAGAGCCAAGTAGAATAGTGATTTGAACACATATAAGCAATTTTAATCCCTACCCTCCTTGATGCTTTACAAAATTTTGGGATGGATCTGTTAAGCTTTTGTCTCATTTGAGTCAGGGATATCTCAGGCCCAGCTCAAATCCTTAAAGGAACTGAGATCAGAGTAGAGGAATAGAAGTGATAAGGGAGATATGTATAAAGTGTCTTCATGCAAGTAAACAAGACACATTTAATTTCAAATTCAAGCAGTGCAGACATTGCTCAAAACCAATTGAATAAACATTTGAATTTTAGGTCTCCCCAAAGGTCTACAACAGTGATGGAGTATCTTTAATTCTTCTACCTCTTGTTCTCTATGGAAAAAAGCAAATGTAAAGGTGTCATTTGGTAAGTTTGTTTCAATTCTACCATCAGATACTCAGTTTTCAACCATTTCCCTATCCTACTCATTAATGAACAGCATAAGGGAAATTTTCATACATTTTGGTCAACATACCAGCTATTGGTGTGTCCTTTTTACATTAACTGAAGAATAATAAATAGTCTTTACAGATGTTACGAGATTACAAAACAAAAAGCATCCAAAGGATCTAAATTAGGGTGTAATGTGGATGCCTAATGGTTTTCTATCAGAACTCTCACCAATTGCCCTGTCTGATGAGAGAAATGAGCAGGAGCTCTGTCGTGGTGAAGGACTCTGCTGAAGCTCCCCCAGGCATTTCTCTACTAGAGTTCTGGCTTTCTCAAAATATTCTCAGAATAAGCATATATTGTCCTTCTCTGGCCCTTCAGAAAGTCAATAAGCAAAATGCCTTGAGCTTCCCAATAAACTCTTACAATTACCTTTGCACTTTCCTCATCCACTCTTCTTTGACTGGACCACTTCCACCTCTTGGTAGCCATTGCTTTGATTGTGCTTTGTTTCATGATTGTACTGATAAAGCCATGTTATATCTGCTGTCACAATTCTTTGATGAAATGCTTCAGGATCTTTATCCCCTTATTTAAATTTTCAGGGAAGCTTCTTCTCTTGTCTGTAGCTGCTCTGGTTGCCATAGTTTTGGCATCCACAGAGTGAAAAATTTGCTCAACATTAATTTTTCAGTTAGAATCATGTAAGATGAACCAATTAAAAAACATGAAGGGTTGGCTATTGTTTGTACTCTTAATCTTCATTCCTCTTCTATCATGGTATCAACAAGATACATTTGATATGAATACTCTGTCACCGTAGACTTGAGGTTCAGCACCATTTCATCCCTTCTTGAAATAACATATCTACTTGTGAACTGCTGATTTCTTCAGCCATTATCCATATGAACTTTTCAGAAAGCATCAGTGGTTTTACCTTCTTTCATGCAAGCTTAACCATAAATTTTCTCTTTGTTTTCACTTTAATTTTAGAAAAATGTATTTTGCTCTTATAGGGGATGTTTTGAAACTCCTGTCTTATTTTTCATTATTCCTTGAAATAGCTCCTATTCAGACATCTTACAGCATATCAGTTTAGGTTCATTTTGATGCCAAAAAATGTGGAATCCTTTTATGGTATTTCTTAATATAACATACATTTTCATGAACTTTTTAAAGACCTACTACATTACAGGAAGGCCTTTCAATAATATAAGAATTGCTACAGGTAACATTGAATTTTCTAGTTGATTAGGCAGATTAACTTTCTGTTTTTCTGCTGACATAAATAGTGATGTGGGTTGAGAAGGAATATAATACCAGTGGTCAAATATTCTGCAGCTATGTGGAAAGTCAAACAGTTGCAACTAAGTGTCACATGCTTTAAGGGAGTCATAGAGTAGCTGCTTGGGCCTAGCAGGTACCCTGATGTTAACAGGATGATTGTCTCTGGTTTCACCAAACATTACTTCAAAAGAGTTACTGGACATGAGCAGTTTTGCCTAGGTAGCTTACAGTAGACCTTCAAGTAGGTAAGGAAGGTCAGAGAGAATGAGCAGAGGTGAATGCCAGTCAGATGTGCCTCTTTGAGTGGGTAGCTGAGGAAGTTCCAGTCCTGGTGGGAGGCAGGCTTCTCCTTGTCTCCTGAGTCCAGGAAGAGAACAGGTGATGCTTCCATATATCACTCAACTCACACCCTATTCCTGACCCTCTCTAATGTCAGAAATGAGTGAGAGAGATTTGTGTTTCAGGCAAGAATAAATATTGGGTATCAACCTACCAGACAACCAAAACAGAGATTACCAAAGAGCTGAAGGAGACACTGTGACTGACTTAGAATGGAGTCAAAGCCAGGAGCAGGACTGCAGCAGGCGCTTAGGCATCTGTACAGGAGTCAAGGACCTCAGCAATCCACCTGTCATTTAAAATGAATGTAAACATACCGTGTACCAAGTAGAATCTTGATTTCCACCTTCTATAACCTGTTCTCTTTAATATCAACAATCATTAATTTCAGACCAAGAAACCAGA
Organism: Homo sapiens; assembly: GCF_000001405.40. NCBI lineage: Eukaryota > Metazoa > Chordata > Mammalia > Primates > Hominidae > Homo > Homo sapiens. Next base: position 76,835 of record NT_187658.1, read on the forward strand.
ATATATTGAGAAACACATCAATGAAACAATACATTTCCCAGAACTAAAGGTTAATTCTCCATATCGAAAGGGCCCAATGATTATCCAAAAGCCCAAATTTAACATTTTCAGGGCTCAGTGCAAGAAGACAATTAGTGGCTAACATACTCCAACTCTTAATAATCACACATTATAAAGCAAGCTAGACTCTAGGTTTAGATCACATTTCCATGTAAGTCCTTCAGCCTGTTGCTTGGAGATTGCTCATATAAGCTGGCATAGAGACTAAAGGTGTCTGTGTTTCCCTGTAACAATCCTGACCCCGCAATCTGAGAGGTGGGAGGAGGGGGGCACAGGGCTGTCTGCTAGAGAAGCACACTAGACGTTGGGCTGGAGCCCAGGACTGATCTGCCCAAGCTTCGAGAGCCCCTGCCAGGCATGTTATGCTCCCCTATGCCTCACTTCTGAGTTTGGACTAGTGGCAATGTCTACACAGCTCCCAATGATAACCCTACTGAGCATAGGACTGGCAGAGAATAATAACCAGAATATACAAACAAACAACTCAAAAACAACAAAATAGTCCATTAAAAAGTGAACAAGAGATAGAAATGGACATCTTTTCAAATAAGACATACAAATAATCAACAGTATGTGAAAAATACTCTATATCACTAATCATCAGAGAAATAAAAATCAAAACCACACTATCACCTTACCCTATTCAGAATGGCTATGATTAAAACAAACAAACAAACAAAACAGATGTTGGGATGGATGTGGAGAAAGGAGAGCTCTTATACACCCTGATTGGAAAGTAAATAGTATAAACTCTATGGAAAACAGTATGATTTCTCAAAGAACTAAAACTCGATTACTATTCAATCTAGCAATCTTACTACTGTATCTATGCAGAGGAAATGAAATCAGTATATGAAAAATAAATCTGCACTTCTATGTTTATTGAAACACCATACACAACAGCAAAGATATGGCATCAACCTAAGTAACCATCAATGGATACTAATGGGTTTGTAGGTAAAGAAATCGTGATATATACACAATGCAATACTACTCTGCAAAAAAAAAAAAAAAAAAAAAAAAGAAGGAACGAAATCACTCCTTTTGTAGCAATACGAATGGAACTGGATGTGACAGATAATATGCTATGTGACAAAGGCCAGATACAGAAAGTCAAGTATAACATGTTGTCACTAATAAGTAGGTGCTAAAATGTGTTTACATAGATATAGAGGGGAGAACTATAGACACTGAAGCCTTGGAAGAGTGAGTGGGTGGGAGGGAATTAAGAGTTAGACATTAATTAGTAAATGCAATATTTGTTATTCTTGTTATGGAAACCCTAAGGCCATGATTTAACCATTATGCAATGTATACATGTAACAAAATTATCTTTGAACCACATATATTTATAAAAATAAAGTTTAAAAATAAATTGAGGGTGACCGGGTGCGGTGGCTCACGCCTGTAATCACAGCACTTTGGGATGCCGAGGCGGATGGAACACGAGGTCAGGAGTTCGATACCAGCCTGACCAACATGGTGAAACCCCGTCTTAACTAAAAATACAAAAATTAGCCAGGCATGGTGGTGCATGCTTGTAATCCCAGCTACTCAGGAGGCTGAGGCAGGAGAATCGCTTGAACCTGGGAGGCGGAGGTTGCAGTGAGCCGATATCTTGCCACTGCAGGCCAGCCTGGGTGACAGAATGAGACTCCATCTCAAAATAAATAAATAAATAAATAAATAAATAAATAAATAAATATAATTGAAGGCAAATTTAAGCATATTTTTTCAAAAAAGAAAAAGAGGGAGATGGAGTAGGAGAAATAAAAAAGAAGGAAGAGGAGGAGGAGGAGGAAGAAAGAGCCTGCATTTCTAATTGTCATAATTAAATTTCCATAAGCAGATACTATTTTTTTTAAAAAAAACCTAATTAGAATTTTACGGGTCTGATAAGAAAGAAAATGCTAAAAAAAATATGAATACTCAGTGTGTTCCTATTTTGTTTGAAAGCCTAGAAAAAAACAATATCAGAGACTATTCTACTTAGATTTTTTGGACAAAGAAATCTTAAGATTTTTAACTCGGGAACATTTAATTCCTCACAATTTCATGTCTGCTGTTCTTTCCTAAAATCATTATTGTGAAGCAGACATGACTATATCCACTAGTGTTTCATGTATGTGATCTGCTTAGTCTTCATCCTTTAGGGGAGCCATTTTGATTATTCAAAAATTTAGAAGAGGAAACTTAGGCTCTGAGACTTAAGTAGCTTCCTATGAGTCCAGAGTTAGCAAGACATAGTTCTTAAACTGCAATCTGAGAGATTCCAAATTCTTTGCCCATTCAAGTCAGGCTGCCTCTGATGAAATCCATTTAGGTTTTCTTAAGAATAGTAAGACTCATAGGCAGGGACAGAACTGATCAGTGATAAAATATGGGAAAATAGGTCTAGTGGCTTCTGGGGAATAGAGGCATAGAACCATACTCATTTCCCTAGAAAACAAAATCGGTTACTTTTGAACTTGTTAAAATTTCTCTCAGCTTCTGGGATTTTCTTTCATTGGTATTGTTTTGCTTACATTCATAAGCTGACTAGAATATCAAGAAATGACCTGAAAATAATTGTACAACTTAAATTCGAGCTATAGAAGACAGAGAAGGAAAGAAACAGTGGAACTCCTTCCCCAGGTGGATGACTTAATAAGGATAAGGAGGAGAGAAGCTTGCTGGAAACATCAAGGAGAAGGGGTCCTGGATATTCTTACAATGTGAACATGGGTCTCAGATTCTAGAGTCCCAAACACTCAGAAAGAGACACCACCAGCAGAAATTGCAAGCTGATTGTTTTATTGGTATACTGAAGTTAGAGCATGATGCCATGTTTCACGGCATTTGAAACACTGTTATCTTCTTATTCACTTCCTGAAAAAGACAAGCAAACAAGGAAGATTACAGACAACACTTGACATGGCAGGAAATGTCTAATCCCTCACTGGGGGTTACTGCAGTGATGGAGATGCAAGCCCCTACTCTTGCCCTCTATCCCTTCTACAGCCCCCTTCTCCTTAGTAATATTTTCTTTGTTCACTCTTTAAGCCATTGCACATAATGTGATTTAAAGTGTTGCTTAGATGAGAAAGAGAAACAATTATTGTTATGTGTTCATGCTTTGCTGCTGTTGGTTATGTAAGGGCTATTTTTACAAAGATGGGCACTGCAACATATCATATAATAGTGAGAATGTGAATCCAGCCTTAATATCCAGTGACAGGGATTGGTTAAATAGATTACGGAACAACCAAACAATAGAATAGTATACAATTGTAAAAACAAACTAACCAATAAACACTGAAGAGATCTAAATGAACTCATGAGAAAGTTTTCTAAACAATAAATTTTTCCAGTGAGTAAGACACAAATCTGAATATACAGTATGGTATAAGTGCTTGTAATAAAAGCATTATATATATTTATGTAGCAATATATATTTCAAAAAGTAGATTCCAAAGAGTAAAAGGTGGGGGTTTTGAGAAGGATAGAAGGGAGGAAAGATGAGTTAGGCTCTTACTATTTAGCTCTGTACATTTCGGTTCAGTGAGATTAGTTTTTGTTAGCTTAAGCATGTATGACTTTAAATGTAAGTATACTAAAAATGAGATACCATTTTACAACTGAAAGTTCAAGGACCACTTAGCAGGAATACTGGACCTGAAAGCCTGATGTGAGGCAGGACTGAGCAAAGCATGTTCAGGTGAAAACTTTAAATGGGAGTCTGAGTTTGAGGAAAGAAAATAGAGAGAGCCAAAGGGGGAACATGGTTCTATGTCCTCATTGTCAACCCTACTTAAGACATGTAATTTGAAGATAGTGATTCTCAAAATCAGAATTGCCTTCAAGAGCTTCTGTAAAACACAGGGTCACAGGGTCTTGATACTCTATACAAGAATATCTGAATAACAATTTTTAGAAATGTGTTCCAGGACAGGGCAATATTAACAGGTTTTCAGAGGATTCATTGGCACAATGAAGTTGGAGAACTGTAGCAGTTGGAGCCTTTGATGGATAATAAACTGGAATCGTACCTGTCATTGAATCCTAGATTACTGAGGAGACTGCCCCTGTGGAGGTCCTTGTGGGCGGCCCCCTTGGGGAGGTGGTCCCTGGGGCTTTCCAGGAGGAGGTGGGGGAGGACCTTGCTGATGGCCTCCCTGTTGGGGTGGTCCTTGTGGCCTTCCTCGAGGAGGACGGGGATGGCCTCCCTGTTGGGGTGGTCCTTGTGGCCTTCCTTGAGGAGGAGGGGGATGGCCTCCCTGTTGGGGTGGTCCTTGTGGCTTTCCCTGAGGAGGTGGTGGACCTTGTTGCTGCTGGCCTCCTTGTTGGGGTGGTCCTTGTGGCTTTCCCTGAGGAGGTGGTGGACCTTGTTGCTGCTGGCCTCCTTGTTGGGGTGGTCCCTGCTGAGGGCCATCATCCTGGTTCCCATCACCAGCAGAGGGTTGAGATTGCTGTCCTCCCAAAGGTGGTCCCTGACGCTCCTCATCTAGGAACTGCTCAGAGTCTCCTCCATCTGTGTGAGTTGAAACAAGAAGAGCTGAGCTCATGCTGGAAAACCCTCCTGTCTTCATACCTCTCTGTCTTCACCACACGGCCGGCCCCTCTCTGCCTGACCTGCCTCTCAACTCCCAACCTCCCCCCTTCCCAAGGCTTCCTAATTAGAACTCCTCTTAATCCACATAAGGGTGATGAAAAATTGAATTTCTTTACTCATGGTCCCCAGAATCAAGGTTGGGAGAAAACTGTTTGTATCTTTGGGGCATTGGTATTAGCCAATTCCTGACAAGAAAATGGTGATAAGAAGACACTGGAGAACTCATCAATTTTTCAGGGAAAAATGGAGACAGAGTTTACTGAGAATTTATTGGGATTTACCTGATATTACGAGGGGAACATCTTCCTGGCTGACATCTAGAAAAGAAGTACAGGATGATGGGAAAAGTTACTTCCTGAATCATTCAAGGCTCATAGTGTTCTACGAGGATAAAGGACCTCTGATCACACCCTGTGCATCCCCTTTGTGATCTCATCAGCCACTCTCTGATGCTACTGGAAGTGGAAGAAGATGTAAGGGAAAGCAGTATTGTTACTACACTGAGCGTCAACCAGGAACTCAACATAGAAGGGCCCCTGTTTGTCCTCTTTTGATTCCCCAAGCCTTGATGAGGAATGAAGATACAATAGGTCTTCTGATCCTCGGCATGAAAATTCTGCAGTCCCATCTGTTTTCTCATCCTCCTCTCTTCCCTCCACTTTCCTCCTCTATAGCATTTGCCTGTAAACCCTTAGCGCTTATTTAGTTAAACTGCTCTGAGTATTTCAATGACATATTTGGGGATTCTTCTGCCCTCTTTCATCTGTAAATATGTTGTTTATGTTTGCAAGCCTTCTCAACAGGAGCCACCAGACATAGCCACTTGGATATAATCTTACGCATGCCATTCCCAGCACATTGAAATACTACATTCAGGAGACAGAAAAATGACAATGTTTCACTCTGGTTATTCTCTAACTCTATGTAGACAGAGACAAGTGTTTACCCAATTCTCTGCCTCGGCAGTAGCTCTGACATGTGTTTATCTCCTTCATTAATGCTCATCCACTGTACAGCAAGGCCACCATCATCCCTGTCTACTGGGATCAGTACAGGATCTTCACAGCTGTACTTCCCTGAATCTGTCTTGCATTCTCCACATCCTTCACAGCAGTCCCATGTCTCTATATAATGCAAATCTCACTCTCTCACACCCCTAGTACGAATTCTTTATTGGATTCTATTTGTGCAACAAATAAACTATGAGGCCTTGATGAGGAATGGAGGTACAATAGATCTTCTGATCCTCAGCATGAGAACTCTGCAGTCCCATCTGTTTTCTCATCCTCCTCTCTTCCCTCCACTTTCCTCCTCTATAGCATTTGCCTGTAAACCCCAATCAGAGTCACAATATCTTCCCCCAATTCATCTTACCTTCATTTAAATCCTGAGCTGAGCTGAAGGCCAGCAGGGCCACTGACAGCAGAATCAGAAGCATCTTGCAGGAGGCTCTGGTGTCACTCCCAACTTTGTGCTGGGAGAAACGTGTCAGCTCCCTTTATAAAGACAAGCAGGACAATGGTGCATTTGAGCTCCCTACCAGGTGGGCCTCCTCGCCTCAGAGACTGGCTTCTGCTTTGCTTACTTCAGGTCAAGTGTATCCCTCATTTCTTTTGGGACTCTAGCTCAGCAGGAAGGGTTGGGTAGGATATTGTTTGTGTCTAATTCCTAAAAGGCACAACTATGACTTGGACAAATGTTTTGACGGAACTGTGTCCAAGCAGTCGGCACAGTGTCAGGATTGAACTTTAGACATCTTTTGGTTTTCAATCTGTTTGGAAAGACTGCTATTCTGCTTTTCACTGTGCTTTTCATTTCTGTGTATGTGAGTTTGTGTGGGTGTGTCGGGGGGTGGACACTGATCCTACAGCTAACAGTGAAGATGGTCAATATCTCTGACTGTTTTGATAGCCTCTTTCCATCTCTCATGATGTGTGTGCGTGGATATTTTCACATTTAGCTAAATTTTTCATGTAACAGAGATGGTCTTGCTTATCTGTGAGATGTGTGAGGACAGCACACTCCCAGGCACACATATATGAGAGAAAGGTGCTGGCAGCCTGCTCAGGCTACAAGAATTGTCCAAACTTCTGTGAATCTCACTACACTCAGGCAAGCCTTGGTGCTATACAACACAGGCAAGCTAAAATATTTGTATTTTAAAAATATCTTTAGGGTTTATTAAAGCAAAACTGAACTCAGAAACCACCAAGGAATTTCTAGACCTGAACAAACTGAATATATGGTTCCCTAAGTGAGCCACACGATGTCATATAGCTAAGACCTCCACTTTCTCCAGAATATTCCATAGAATTCATCCTCTACTTTATTTCTTCTAATAAATATTGTAATTGTCATCACTGATAATTAAATGGCCACAATTATACATTCATCTAAGATAATTTGTAATACCTGTCCAAGCCTCAATTGCCTTGATTGGTCTTCTGCTTTTACTCAGTAATTATGTCACCTGTTTCATCAGAGTGTTCTTTCTCACCAAGGATTTTTATCTGTAATATTCCAATACTCATTCTTTCTCATTCTTTTTCTCGCACTTATTTGTTGAAATTTTGTATTCTGAGTCTACCTTGCCATGTTTACTTTTCGTCCTATATCTTTTTTTTTCTCCCTACAAAGGTGTCCTTTATTTATCCTTCTAAGTAAAGGTGTGTGGTACTCCTCACTACCTTTACTTTCATTTTTGTCTGTATAATTTGACAATAAAAAATTAAGTTTCCAAAAAGCCCTGTCAGGGTCCTGGTTTGGTAGCTCTCTCCTCAGCTGCTGATTGCTCCAAAAATTAAGTTTCCAAAAAGCCCTGTCAGAGTCCTGGTTTTGTCGCTCTCTCCTCAGCTGCTGATTGCTCTGTGATACCTAGAAATTCCCTGCTCATCAATTCATAAAATATACTACTCAGAATCACCAGCTGCACTTTCCATTTCAGACCTTGAGTAGGTCTTGTGTAATTTTTCACTTTTTGTGCATGGTTAGTCTTTATTTGAGGATAGCTTGGTTGGAGGCATGGCTGAGAAGCCAGGTGACAGAAAATCATAAAGACAAGGCCCTAGACAGGTGTGCATGAGTGGATCCTGTGCTGGGCATATGAGGGTCTGGTATGGCTCTTCTGAAAAGTTGCAGATAATAATACAAGAAGGCTTCCTAGTAGATTAGATTTTGCTACAGACGACATTGTTCTTGTAAGGGACCCAGGCAGATTGGTATTTTCCCTGGAATAAATATAGACCTATTTCAGGGGGGAATGCATTCTTAATTGGCAATTCTTCTCTGGCCCTGTGGGAAGTAGATCAGCTCTAGCTGGGCCGTATGAGTTGTATCTCAGGCACAGAGTAGTTGCTTGAGCCCAGCAGCTCCCAATGCGTTATGGAGATTATTGTCTCTGGTTTCACCAGGTACTGTTTCCCATAGGACCTGGAGATGAGCAGTCCTGCCTCGGTGACTTCAGGTCAACCATCATGTCAAAAAGGAAGGTCAGAGAAAAGGAACAAAGAGGAGTGCCAGGCAGATATTGCCTGATGATGTGGGGGACTGAGGAAGCTGCAGGCCTGGTGCAAGACAGGTTTCTCCTTGGCAGCAGAGTACAGGAAAAGAACAGGAAATCCTCCTAAAGGTCACTCAGCTCAGGCCTGCTCCCTAACCTGCTCCAATGTCAGCAATCAGCGAGAGACTAGTGTATCAGGAAAGCATAAATATCAGCTATGCTCTCACTAGACACATCAAAAACAGAGGTAATGGAAGAGCTGAAAGGGACACTGTCTGTGAGTGAAGGTGGGTGAAAGGGAGACGCAGGACTGCTGCAGGAGCTTGGGTACCTAGAGGTGGGTGGCAGCCCTCAGCACCACACTTGCCTTCTACTATAGATGTTCATATTCTGAGGCCCTGAAGGGCCAGTCTTCAACATATGAAATTTTAGGATTCATCTCTCATAACACATCCCAACATTTTCTCGGTCACTGACAGGTGTTTACCTAGTGGTTCAAAAATCCTCGCTCCCTCCAGGAACTTATGCATTAGCCGATCTAATTGCCTCCACTTTCAAAATACGTCCCAAATATGACCACTTGCCTGATCTTTACTAGAAGGTGATTGTTCAGCCATGATGCTCTCTCCTGGAGGACTTTACCAGCCTCCAGCTGGTCTTGGTAATGTTCTTCCCCCAGCTCATCCCATATCAGTTCCCTCACAACAATCAGAGTGATCATTTAAAAGTAGAAATTAGGTTATATCACATTTGTGCTTCAAATCTCCTGTTTTTTCTTCTGCACTTGTGATAAGATCCAAATTTCATGCCTCAGCTCTTTCACACCCACATGCCTCACTCTTTTTTGAAAACCAGGAAGCTCTCTGAATGGAACAGAAAGTAGAATCTTCTTCGACTTCACCATGCTCTAGTTTGCCTGGAACACTAAAGATGGTTTGCCAGGAAAGATGAACATTGACAGAGGGAATAAACTTCTCTGAGAGTCAGTGAGTTTCATTGGGTCGCTGTGGTCTGGCAGTGTTATGAATTGGCAGAATTATTCTATTAATTGCACCAACTAAGCATTCTGATAATACAGTTAGCAAATAAACACAATAGTCTCTGAGACTTCAACTTGCTTTGACTTGTCTAAAAAGTTTGGTGACACTATTATGGCCAATTAACTATTAAAAATATCTTCTATATTTTTAAATTTGATGTTAGTGGTCCATAAATATATATATTTCACAATTAATTTAGCATATTTCTTTTTTTTTTTTTTGAGATGGTGTCTTGCTCTGTCACCCAGGTTGGGGTGCAGTGGCATGATCTCAGCTCACTGCAACTTCCACCTCCCGGGTTCAAGCAATTCTCCTGCCTCAGCCTCCCAAGTAGCTGGGATTACAGGTCCCTCGCCACCATGACTGACTAATTTTTTCCCATCTCTACTAAAAATACAAAAAAAAAATTATATCTAAAGAAATTAAGTCACATGGCTAGGGTCACTGTAGTAAATGAGGAAAAATTAAGTTGATTTTCTCTTCTCTTTGTAATTCCAGTTTAACCGGATGTTGTCGATGTTGTTTTCAATTTAGAAAATATAGCAAATTGTTCATTAGCCATGAGTATCACTCTGCTATCCACCACTTTCTAAGAAGGCGCTTATTTTAGAACAAGGCTAACACTAAATTACAGGAAATTAAGTAATTGTGGCAAACTAGAGAAGCATAGTATGTATAATAGGTCTTACTCAGTTAGATCCACCTGTCAAGGCTGAGTCCCTTTCTGGAGTCTCTAGAGAAGCACCCATTTTTTGTCCACATTCCTTGGCCTTCTTCCATCTTCAATGCCAGCAATAGCCACTTGAGCCTCCCATCACATAGCATCACGTCGCCCTTGCACTGACTCTTCTGCCTCCCTCTTCTGCAGTTAATGACCTTATGGTTACATTGAGTCCACCTAGATAATCCAGGATAACCTTTCTAAATTCAGGTCAATTGATTCGCAAATGTAATTTCCCTTTGTCATGTAAGTTAATATATTCACTTGTCTGAGAATTAGGAAGTGTGTGACTTTGGGAGACTGTTAATCTTCATAGAACACACAGGATGGACACCTTACCCATCTAGACCTGGTTTGGCTCAGTGAGAGTTGGAGAGACTCACCCAGGCTTCTTCCAGATATTTGCATGAGAATATGAATGAGTTTATGTATAATTAGTTGTTATACAAATATTTGTGACTTAAAGTATATATCTATGCAAAAGCGTAAATCACAAACTGAGATGGCAAAAATTTACTTTCAATAACCATTGACACTTAATGCATTTTTTGATATTTTAGAGCTGTCATATTTTTTGTTTTTTATTTATACTACTTTTGATTGTTTTCTTTTTCCTGATCTCCTATGGGGCCACTGAAAGTGTTTTATAATTCTATTTTAGTTGATCCGTATAATTTTTGAGTGTATCTCTCTGAACAGTGTTTTTAGTGATTCTTCTATGTTTTACTTTACATGTACATAGCTTATAATCTAGTGGTGTACACTTTTTACCAGTTTTAGTGAAGTATGGAAACCTTACATCCCTTTATAATTTTTAGGTCAAAATGAATTTATTATTTTTCAGTTTTGTAGGTCAGAAATCTGAACTGAGGTTCACTGAGTTAAATCCATGTGTCAAGGCTGAGTTTCCTCCTAGAGGCTCTAGAGAAGAATGTCATTTTTCCACATTTCCTGTCTCTCTTCCATCTTCAATGCTAGCAATGGCTGGTTAAAACATATGAAGAAAACTCAAGTGAAAAAGGAAGATATATTGTGTTTGCCCACTTTCCCCCTTTCTCTTATTTTTACTTCATTCTTGATGTTCCACAAATTTCTCTTCTATTCTTTCCTTTATGTTTAGAGAACTTCATTTGGCTATTATTTAAAGATAGGTTTGTTGGAAAGAAATTCTCCTAGGTTTCTAGCTTTTCTTTTTTTCTTAGAATGCCTGGATTTCCTTTACATTAATGAAGGATATTTTTATTGAACATAAACATCTGGTAGACCATTTCTACTTTTGAGCACTTTAAATATTTGTGCTCCTTTCTACTGTTATTTCTGGTTTCTGGTGATAATAACCACTATTATTTATATTGCATTTTCCCTATAACTATGATGTCATTTCCTTCTTTCTGCTTTCAATATTTTGTCTTTAATTTTCAGAAATTGGACAATGAATTTTCCTGGAATGGATTTCATTGGTTGTATTCTGGTTGGGATTTGCTCAGCTTCTTGAATCTGTAGGTTTATGCTCTTTGCTGTGTTTGGAAAATTTTTGATCATTATTTCTCTGAGTCCTTTTTCAACATCAACCTCTTCTGCTTTTCTGAAACTCAGAATGCATGAATAGTACATCATTTGTTATAGCCTTTCATATTCATGATATGATGTATAATTTTTTCAATTATTTTACCCTGTATTGTTTAGAGTATATAATTTCTATTGATCCAACCTCAAGAACACTGTCTTTCCTCCATCATTTTCTTTATGCTATTTATCATGCCCAATAAAGGTTTTTTAAGACATTATATTTTTCATTTCTAAAATATCTGTTTTCTTAATTTATAATTTATAATTCCTATTTTTCTGCTGACAAGTTTTTCCTTTCCATTCATTTTGAGTGTCTACCTTGACCTCATGAAGGATGGGTACAACAGCTCCTGTAAAGTCTTTGGTCATTTTAATATCTAAGTAATTTCAAGGTTGTAATTTCTTGATTGTTTCATTCCTTGAGAAATGGTCGATTTTTTGTGAGTTGTTTTGAGTACATTGAGTAATTTTCTGTTTTATCTTGCACAGAGGGATTTTCTCTTTTTGCAATACACAAAAAGCCCAATAAGGGTAGGTTCGGACATTGGAGGGTGAAGGCACTCATGGTAAATTATGCTCCACCAACTGGCTCAAATGGCCAGGGAGTTTGTCCCACTAACATTTTTGGTGGTTTTCCCTGGGTCAATCTCTCTGGCACTTATGAGATAATATTTTAAGTATTTAATATCACACCATACATACAGATATAAAGACAATAAAAAGCAGTGCATCGAATGGGTCCAAAGGGCCCTATCCACAAAGTCTTCCTAACTTTGGTGTGTGTGTGTGTGTGTTTGTGTGTGTGTGTGTGCACTGTTTGTTCAATCCTCATCAGTTGAACTCAGGCACTTCTTTTTCCTTTTTCTTTCTAAACCTGCTTGTTAGAGGCTGTCACAGTAGCCAGAAGGCCCTGCTATCTTCTATTTGAGTATTTATAGAATGCAGGAAAAAAGAGGGTAAACTATAAAGAACGACTGTAGGCCTCCCCGGTGCAGTGGCTCATGCCTGTAATATCAGTACTTGGAGAGGCAGAGGTGGGAGGACTGCTTAAGGCCAGGAGTTCTAGACCAGCCTGGGTGACATAGTGAGACTCCTCTGTCTTTACAAAACACTAAAAAATTATCCAGGCATGATGGTGTGTGCCTGTTGTCCTAGTCATTTGGGTGGCTGAGGTGGGAGGAAAAGAAGGGAAGGAAAGAGGAGGGGATGGGAGGGGAGGGGAGGGTTGGCTTTTTTTTTTTCCTCTTGGCTTCTTGCCCTTCTTTCTAGTGCACCTCCCAGTAGGGTCTCTTTTGTATTTCCTCACATGCTATTGTCCTCCATCCCTCAGCACCCCTTCCCCCAACCCCCAGAACCAAGTAGAATGGTGATTTGTGCACATATATCCAACAGGGCTATACTAATTTGAGTCCCTACTCTCCTTGAAGCTTTGCAATATGTTGGGATGGTTCTGTAGGGTCTTTGGTGTCCCTTGGGTCAGGAAGATCTCAGGCCCAGCCCGAATCCCTAAAGCAATTGACATCAGAATAGAGGTAAAGAAGTTATCAGGGAAATATAGAGAAAGTGTCTTCAGGCCAGTATGCAAGACACATTTACTTTCAAATAAGCATTATTGCCACTACTCGGTGGTTAACTGAATAAGCATCTGAATGTAACAACTTTGGGAGATCCTTAATCTTTTCACCTTTCCACCAAAGGCCTGTAACAACTTTGGGAGATCTTTAATCTGTCTACCTAATGTTATCTGGAGAAGACAGCTAAATCTAAAAGTGTCATTTGGAAGTCTGTTTCAGTTCTACCAGTGGTACTCAATTTTCAACCACTTCCCAATCCTCCTCATTAATGAGCAACATAATAGAAGAATATTTATTTACCAATTACAAACATTTTAGTCAACATGTTAGCTACCAGTTCCCATGGACTTTCAGCAAATCCTATTAATCAGCTTGTAGGATCCTTCACTTTCTCCTCAGAAGGCCAGGTCTTTGGGCTGTGTTCCATCCTCGTTGCCAAAATTATTATAAGCTAACAACTTAGCTTGTCACTTGTTGTACTTGCAGAAGGCAAAAGATGGTTTATTATTCACTGAAGTACTAGCAGTAGTCAGAGGAATATCATCGTACTATTTCTTCAAGCTTCAGTCCCCTCACAGGGATAAGATGAGAAACTGATGTTACATGTGCAAGTAGTGGTGTCTATCAAAAGAGAAATCTCAAAATTAGGAAACTCCAGTCTTAAAAACTTTGATCACTGTGAGTAACCTGTCCATCTTGCCTTCTGAAGAAGAAGCTTTACACTGGAATGTAAGCAAATATCTCTGGAGAGAAGAAGAAGAAGAGAAGAGTCTTTATCTTTAAACAAATCTGCCTTCTGACCAAGAGGGATACCCTATTTCTAAATCCCAAGGCTCTTTGCCATGACCTGGTCTTGGGCAAAGTGAACGAGACTCCTAGGGCACAAAACGTAAAAAGGCATTCAATAGGTTGCAGGGCCCTAAAACCAAGTGGCTCCTCAAACTTTGCACCCTGCATGCCTTGCTCACCTGATCCTAGTTGAGGCCCTTCTGTTTGCTCATCAAACATACTGTTTGCTCACAAGATAAGAGCTAGACCATGCAGAAGTGCAATACATTCATGGAGAATTTTTTTCCCAACATCCATTCCCAAGATCAAGGTTACACAGTTGCCAAAGATTGTAGAGTATTCTGAATATATCATCTATTTTCTTCCTGGACAGAACTAAATCCATCAGAAGTAACTTTTTTAAAAAATGTTTCTTTCTTTTGCATACAATTTGTTTTTATTTTAGATTAAGAGATGAGTCCAGAGGTAAGGGGGACAGGAGAACTGTGACATCAGGGATGACACTACCCTTTGAGAGCACTGGAGCAGTTAGAAAGGATTGAAAGTGAATAATCTTATTTCATAAGGGGTATGTCATTTTATGATTCAAATTAAGTCTGTGATTATCACTTAGCAAAATTGCTAAAATCATTATCAGAATATCCCATATCATGATAGGAGGAAGAAAAAGAAGTAAAATCTAAAATTGTTATGGAGGTAAATAGAAGACTGCCATAAACAAGCTATCTACAGAATTATGGGGCTTAGGAATTCACAGTACCCTATAAACAAGAACACAGCTTTGAGAATTTCTATACTCTAATTTTTAAAAATGAAGTATATTTTGTGAATTTTTCACCCACAAATTATTTTAACTGGAAGCCATCACAGCTCATTAATCAGCAATTGGTGAAGGACTAAAGCAGCCCAAATCATTCCTGTCTCAAAGTAAGGCCTGCTTGTAAGCAAGTGTGAACTGGGGATGTATGTGCAGAAATCAGAGCCTAAGTATGGTAAGCTGGACATTTCAGAGATAAGGAAGGCAGCTGGTGTGTGTGAAATCTTATATCAATAACTGATTTTATTTTTTCAGTCCTAATTGCTATTATGGAATTTGTGCTTTTCATTATTACATCTTCACAAAGCATGATTTTTAACTTTAGAACAATTTACATTTTATGCTGGATAATTCTGTTGTGAGGGACTGTCATGTGCATTGTGAGATATTGAGCAGCATCCTTGTCCTCGTACAGTTATCAGGTAAAATACAGAGTGTGTCAGTTCAATTTGAATTTCAAATAAGCAACAAATAATTGTCATTGTCTGTGTATCCAATTATCAATGCTGCAGGTCTGTAATTGGTCCTCCATAGCACACTTACATTATGATGTAAACTCATATTATGGTTATCACAAGTAATACTTATTTATAAATTTATTCTTGTTGTTTTTTCTTTTGTCTGAAATGTAAATTTAACTAGGCCTCCTATATTTTTATTTGCTTAATCTGTTAACATTACAATAGATGCCAGCAGCATCCGTCCAATTTTAACTGAAATGTCTCCAGGCATTATTAAATGTCCCCTAGGGGGGCAAAATTGCCCTGTGTGGAGAACCACTGTCCTAAAGGGATTTCATCCTTTGCACATGGAAATCTCGTGGTCTATTCTCTGGATATTTTAATTTTATTCACACATTTAAAATTTCGTTTTAGGCCTGCAATGTCCAGGTTATTTTTCTAGGGTTTACTTTTTGTTCTATCGATTACCATATAATTAACTTTTTAAAATACTTTCTGCAATGTTGAAAATTTGTCTTTTGTCTTTACTGCTGAAAATTATATTATTTGCTTGCAATATGTTCTTTTTTTTCTTAGAGAGAACGTAATTGTTCTTCAAAATCTGCTTCCAATTATTTCATTTTAAATATTTATTACTGTTACCTTAAACTTGCGATTGTGTTCTTTTATTTAACCTGCTATTTTTACATGCTTTCTCATTACATTTTTAAGAGGAGACGTTCTTATTAAATTCAATTCTGTAAACTGATTGGTTATCCCTGATTTGTTTTTCTTTTCAAAACTTTATTTATTTTTCTTTCTTTACACAGTGACTTTCATCAAATGAGATCCTGTATTTGTTACTATCGTCTTGGTCTTCTATATTTTTATTTACTAAACCTGGTAACTCTACACTAGATGCCAGCAGCAGTCCTCCAATTTTGCTTACTTAAAATCTTACTGATTTTTTAATACGTGTCCTTGCCTTCCTTACACAGTTAACCAATTGAGTAAAATTTTATTGTTAGTCCAAAGATTCAGATTCTACAGTACAAGTCTGTTGTAGATGGTCAAGATTGTAACATTTTTGATGGTCAAAGTTGCTTAGTGTTTTTAACTGAAAATGACTGAAAATATTAACAGAATAGGGCTTATATTTGGAAATAACTCTTAGTGATGTACATTTCAATTGACTTTGTTTCATATCCTCAAAGTTTTCACTAAGCTGTAGACTCTACTAACTATTTTCATTTGAGTTTTCCTTTCTAGTTTTAAATTATCAATTGATCATCATTTTTAGGATAGGAACTAAATCCCTATGTGTTTGTACATATAAATCTGATTTTATATACACTCTATACACATACATAGATATTATAATTCTTGATGTATTTCTATTCTATTCTAATGCTTATGCAACATATTAATAAAATTTAAAGATAGAGTAATCTATTATATTGATCACAGTGCCTAATGAAAAATGCATTTTCAATATATTAGAATTTTACTATTAAATACATAATCTCCATATATGGTGCAAACAAGGTAGCAATCTGTTCTGCTTAATTTAAATCAGCAAGTATTTTCAATAATGCTCAATATATCATAGAACATAATGAGAAAATAAGAGGTAGGTGAAAGAAACAAATGTGTAGCCCTCCTGTTCTTCTTCCTTTTTTTCTTTCTGAGAATATCATCACTCATATCAGGCATGTTTATAAAAATGAGAGATTATGTCCTTTTTGGCATACTTCATCTTCTTCAGGACACAGAGAGAAGCTTGCTTCAGTTTGCTGTCCCGTAAAATTAGAAGAAATGAATGGCCAGATGGATGGAAAAATACCAGCACACTACTAAAAGTCCTTGCCGCAACGAAGTCTAGAAGAGGACAGGCCAATGTTAGTATGATACTGATGAAATAATGCACAATAAAGAGGAGTAGAAATGAAATTATAGCTTTTATAGGTTTTACATGGGCTTCTGTGCTGGGATCCCTGGAATAAATACCATGTAGCTTCATCTGCCTGGTGTGGCTCCATAAGGAGAGGATTAAGAGAAGAATGGAAGCCAGTGTTTCCACAAAAGGAAGGATGAACATCATCTGAAGGAGAAACAGAGAAGTGAAATCATGCATGGTATCCATATAATTAAATGTCAAGTTGCCTTTTATTGTTACCCGTTCTTAGATTAAACTATTAATTATTATTTCCTTCAGAATGGAAGTTGTGCAGAAAGAGATCGTTGCCTCTAGTACAATAAAGAGAAGCACCTTGTGAATTTTCCATTTCATCCAGAGGAAAATGGGATTGGAGAAGTTGGCTACCTTGAGGAAATAGAAGACACTGAGGCAAGTGGTACAGGACAGGCAGAAATAGCTGGATCCTGTCCAGAGAATGTCAAAACTTACTGCAAGATTCTTAGAATCAGGCATTTTCTCATAGCCTATATTGAAAGAGGTAGCTAAAATTGTTATCTACAGGAAACATATCCTGGAGATGGCCAAGCAGTTGAGAATAAAATCAATCAGGGAGACCTTTCAGTTCCTGATTCAGTCAATGATATTAACCAATACAATGAATCAATTTCCCACAGTCCCCATTATGAATTACACTACAAGAATTCTTATAAACAGTGTCTCCCAAATGCTTGACATGCCTCTACATAGTGAATCTCTGCCTTCAATACACCATTGGCTGATTGATCCTAGCTGCACTGTTATAGATTTATATATCCAAAGGAGTGACTTCTTTCTGTTTTATTGATGGCCATTGGTGTAGTCTGGAGAGATCCAAGGTGTGTTCTAAAATTAGATTTCAACTAAATTGTAAAATATACAAGTTTTTTTCCCTTGAGGGTATCAGCTAGTGATTTTCAAGGCAAATATTATATTCCCTGCTACTATTGACTCTGGTTGTATTTTACATGGAAAGTTCTGCATTCAAATTTGAACCCTCATTTGTTAACATGCAAAATTGAAGTAGATTCTCCTTTATAGTTTTACAATGCCATCTTTTGCTTAAAGGTTATTCATTTGTATGATGTATCCCTTTGATTCATCTACCACCCTGGGCTAGAAATTCTAAGCCCCCATATAGAAAAATGCAGTATATATTTAGAGTTTATGATCAGCATATTTCTTCATTATCAACCTCACTAATGCAGATTATTTATAAAATATGCAAAGTTTAAGAAAATGGAGAAAACTGCTCTCTGATATAATACCAAATCTTTTAGAGAGTATGGAAGTTTTTGGCCAGGCACGGTGGCTCACGCCTGTAATCCCAGCACTTTGGAAGGCCAAGGCAGGTGGATCACCTGAGGTCAGGAGTTCGAGACCAGCCTGGCCAACATGGTGAAACCCTGTCTCTACTAAAAATACAAAAATTAGCTGGGCTTGGTGGCATGCTCCTGTAATCCCAGTTACTCGGGAGGCTGAGGCAGGAGAATCGCTTGAACCCAGGAGGCAGATGTTGCAGTGAGCCGAGATCACACTACTGCACTCCAGCCTGGGTGACAGAGTGAGATCCGTCTCAAAAAAAAAAAAAAAAGAGAGAGAGAGTATGCAAGTTTTAAAACATACGATACATACTTTGGCACTTCTTCTATTGATATCTTAGGAGTCTGTGTACTCTGTCCTTAAATCTAGAATGGTTTGTGACTAATTCAACTAATAAAAATGCTATAATAATTCTAAAGCTAAATCATGAAAAGCCATGCAGTTTTTTCTTAATCACTGCAATATTTACTCTTGGAGTCCTAAGCCACATGTAAGTAGTCCAACTACTCTGAGGTCACAATGTCCAAACCCACATGCAGAGGCCATGTGCAGGCCCTCTGGCTCATTATCCCACGTGAGCCCAGCTTTTACGTCCTTTTACCCCAGGTACTAAACCTATGAGCCAAGAAAGCGATATTTGACCTGTCTGATACGGTAGATACTAGCCACATGTCACACGTGGCTTTTTAAATTCACATTAATAAAAATTAAATAAGATTAAAAGTACAGAGCCTCAGTATTACTAACCATATTTCAAATGCTCACTAGCCACGTGTGACTATTTTATAGCCAACATACATAGGGGATATTTCTATCATTGCCTATCATTGACATTTCTATGTATTTCTCAGCTCCGCCTTAGATAAGTTCAGCCCCTGGTCACTTGAATTGCCCCCAGTTGTTCATAACTTTCTGGCTAAAGGCTTAGACATTCTGGAACAAAAAGAAGCCATCCCTGCTATGTCTTGAACAAAACCCTAACCTACAGAATCTTTAAGTGAATTAGTCTATTCTTGCATTGCTATAAAGAAACACCTGAAACTGGGTTTCTGTAAGAGGTTTAATTGGCTCATGGCTTCACAGGCTGTACAGGAAGCATGGCGGCATCTGTTTCTGGGGAGGCCTCAGGAAATGTATAAAGATGGCGGAAGGCAATGGGGAAATCAGATACATCTTCACATGGTTGGAGCAGGAGGAAGAGAAAGATGGGGGAGGTGCCTTACACTTTCAAACAACCAAATCTTGTGATAACTCACTCACTCACTATTGCCACACCACCACCAAGGGGGAAACTGCCCCCCATAATCCAATCACCTCCCACCAGGCCCCACCTCCAACATTAGGGGTTACAATTCAATATGAGATTTGGGCGAGGACAGAAATTCAAACCATATCAACAAGCACAATAAAATGGCTGTTATTTTACACCATGAAGTTTCTGGGTGATTTTATTATGCAGCAATAGAGCATCAGAATAGAATTATTTAGCATATGAATGGTATCAATATTTTGTCATTTCTAATTTCCATGTCTGTTTTTCTCTTCTATCCCAAATAAAGGTATCCATAGCATCTTTATTTTCCTCAGTGTAAGGGGAACTTGTATAAATTTTCTATAATTTTTTCATACGTTGAGCTGAACTTAATCTTAATTCTGATGAGGTCAAACCAGGAAAGGCCAATTAGTCATGTTCTTTGTGTAATGCAACTGCTGCATTTCCCTCCCAAAGTAGCTAGTCCAAAATTTAGTGACATTCAAAACCAATGGAGATATAATATAGGCCTAAGAGGAGTCAAAGAAATGAATGAGTTGGACAGCCCACCAAAAGATACACCCTAGGTAAATTCACAAAGAAAACTCCATGACTAAAAGAAAGGCTAATTGTGATAGGCAAACATGAAATGCAAACAAAACTGAAACTGAAATAAACAAAGGGAAATTCAGGAAAATATTATATGCTGAAAAAGGGTTATTTTATTTGTCTTATTGAATATCTTCTTTGTTCCAGCCCTCTAGGAGGTGGGATGAAGCATTAAATACAACTATTTTTAAATGCCCTTAATAAGTTGACATTCTGAAAAGATGAACTCTAAACATATAACTAATAAAATATATATCATACAGATATAAAATATAGTTTATAAGAAGTTGCAAATATAAGTAGAGAGGGTCAATAGAAAGCATGTCAGAAGAGGGGTTGAAATTTTAAATAAGGTGCTTAGGGAAGGACTCATTGAGAAGGTGATGTCTGAACAAAGACCTAAAGTAGGTAAAGAAATTATCCATGTTTTGTCTGGGTAAAGTACATTCCAGACACACGGAACAGCATTATCAGTGTGCTAACATTGGATGTACCTAGTGTGTCTGAGGAAGAACAAGGAAAGCAGTGTGACTGTTGCGGAGATGAGAGAGTGAGACCACTAAGAGTGAAGTCTCAGAAAGAAGAGGCATGTGCCCAGAAGGCAGCACATACAGTCAAAAGAGATTATTTTAGAACGTTAATATTTAACGCCTGCCCTGCTGTGTTTTGTACTTGCGTGGTGCCTACTGCTCCTCTCTTGTGGCTGATTTCTCCCTTTTGGAATGAGAATGTCTATCCAATGCCTGTACAACAACTGTATCTTGGAAGGAAATAAATTGTTTTTTATTTCACAGGCTCATAGCTGGAAGGAACTTGACTTCCAGTCTCAAATGAGACTTTGGACTTCAGACATTTGAATTGATGCAGCAACGTGTTAAGAATTGGGGGACTATTGTTGGGATGGAAAGATTACATTTTTTTTTATGTGAGAAGGACACGAGTTTTCAGGGGACCAAGTCAGAATGCTATGGTTTGTACACGGTTTGTTTGTCCCCATCAGAACTCATATTGGGATTTGATCCCCAAAGTAGTGGTGTTGGGAGGTTGAGCTTAGTGAGAAGTGTTTGAGTCATAGGGTTGGTTCCCTCATGAATGCCTTGGTACCATTTTCAATGTAGTGAGTGAGTTCTCACTCTCACAAGACTGAATTTGTTCTAGGGGAATGAGTTGTTTTTCATGAGAGTGAATTGTTATAAAGCCAGGATGCCCCTTTGGTTTATTCTCTCTTCACATGTGCCCGCTTCTGCTTTGACCTTCTCCACCATGGTTTGACCCAGCACAAAAGCTCTCAGCAGAAACTAAGCAGATGCTAATGCCATGCTTCTTGTACAGCCTGCGGAACCATGAACTAAATAAACCTCTTTTATTTATAAATTACTCAGCTTCAGGTATTCCTTTATACCAACACAAACAGACCAAGAAATTGAGGAATAATATTTATAAAATTATTTCAGTGAATTAAATTAGATAAAATGGACAAATTCCCTGAAAGAAATTACTGAATCAGGCACACAAAGAAATAGAAAATCTTAGTGTCTATTTTTAAAAATTGAATTCTTAATTTAAAACTTTCACACAAAGCAAGGGATGACCTGAATGTTTATTTTCATCACATATTTAAGAAGAAAAAAATACCAACCTACATAAATTTTTCAACAAAGTCTCATAAAGGTTAACTCTGTGAGCTTTATTTCAAGAAGGAAAGTGGGAATCTACCAGAATCATAAGGACACACAGATCCCAGGGAGGGGAACATGGGCAAACAGCCCCCATGATGGCACCCAGTTAAAAAAGTGAATGAAGCTCCAGTAGGTGAGAGAGGCAGAGAGCCTCCCTCTGTGACTCACCTTTCCACTGGGGATCTGAGCAACCCAGTGCTCAGAGGGAAGAGTACCTTGTTTCTCCAAAGCCCTGGAGATAACTTGGAGAAAGGCTTAGAGACATTGTAAGGGAAAGACACTGGGAAAAGGTTCAGGCCTTTTCTCAGACCCAGGACTGAGAGCAGGATACCATTTTTAATTCAGATGCCACAAAGTCAATCATTCTTTGGTAACTAAGCAGCGTAGCTGTGCAGGCATTTTAGTCTTGGGCCAGATATTGGAGCACCTGCTTTAGAGCAGGGTGGGGACCTCCATGGCCAGAATTGTGGGGAAAAAAAACCTTAGCAGCAAACACTGAAACTGTGCTATCCCCCATCACAGGCCTGGGGCAGGAGGGGAGCTGCTACAGCCAGTTTATCCTATGTGATGAGACTTGCAACCAGGCAGCTTAGCTACTTGGAACTAGTCTGTGTGTGTCATTGCTGGGTACCCCACCCTGTTCCCCTGTGATTGTGGTGCAGCAGACTCTCCTCCACTCTACCTCTAGGCAGAAATCTGGGCATTTGGATCACTCATTCACCTGGTTCAGCAGCTTCATCTGCTCCACCCTTCTTGTGCAGAGATCCTAGAATAGGGAGGCCCTCTCTGCTTCATGCCTAGGCAGATCCCAGGATTTTGGAGCACCTGCTAGCAAGGTTCAGCACCCTGAACCACCTAACCTTCCTTGACGTAGGTCATGGTGCAATGGGGCCCTCTCTGCTCCACAGCCAGGCAGAACTCTAGATATCTGAAGCACCCATTCACCTGGCTCAGCAGCCTATCCTCCCCTACCCTTCCTGTGCAGAGATTTTGATGCAGGGAGGTCCTCTCTGCTGCATACCCTAGCATTCAAAGCACCTGCTCACACAGACTGGCAACCTGTGCTGCCTCACCCTTCCCGTTCACAGATCCATGTACTGGGCTGATCCTCTCTGTTTTATGCCCAGGCAAATATCCAAGCATTAAGAGCACCTGCCTGCCTAGTTAAGAAGCCTGAGTCACCCCATTTACCCTGTGCAGAAATCTTGGTTGGTGGGGGTGGGTTCTGCTCCACAAGCAGGCAGATTTCCAGGTATTCAGAGCCCCCACTCTCCTGGATTAAGAGTTTAGGCCAATCTCTCCAATATCCCTGTGCAAAGAACTTGGAGCCGAGGGGGTTACCTAGCTCCACCCCTAGACAGAACTCTGGTCACTTGGTAGCCACTCAGTAGATTCTCCCTCAGTGTTGGTGCTTGTGTCTGCCATTGGAAGACCTATAGGTGGACCTGCCTTGTCTGGCCCCACCCACCTTGCTCCCCACAACCCCCAAGGCTGAGCAGGGAGTTCACACCACTGTGTACTCCATGAGTCAGACCATTATCTGCAGCAACAGAGAGTTTCTTCCAGTAAACAAGGATCAAATATATAACCATCACATTGTCCAAAACTGGCTCTTACCTATAAGTGCCATCTACTGGCTTGTAGGTTGAACCGCACAGTCTAATATAAAACCTGCAACCTGTAAGTGCATAAGGCTATAGAAGCTGGGCAAAAGACCTACCCAGAATTCTCTAAAGTCATACCTCCTAAGGAGGGAGGGGGAATGGAAAGGGAAAGAAAAAAGAACAATAATATTATAGGGAAATAAAGAAAAAAATCCTACCTTATGGAAATAATTACAAAAATTAGAAGTGCCAGTATTGCCAGAGGAGGAGGAAAGAGAACAAGAATTCTACCACCATAAAAAAAGTGAATGTAATGAAATCAACACCATCAAAGGAGCACAGTACCTCTCCAGCAATGGTCCCTAACCAAAACAAAAGCTCAGATATGACAGATAAAAAATTCAAAGTATAGATTGCAAGGAAGCTCAATGAGATGCAAGACAAGGCTGAAAATGAATACAGAGAGATTTCTAAAGCAATCCAGGAAATGAAGGAAGACATAAACATCTTACAAAGAAATCAATCAGAGCTTCTGGAATTGAGAAACTTACTTAAGGAATTATAAAGTACAATTGAATTCATATAAAGTACAATCTCTCATAGACTGGACCAAGCAGAAGAGTTTCAGACCTTGAAAACTGGTCTTTTGAACTAACCCAGAAAAAAAAATTAAAAATAATTTAAAAATATGAATACAGTCTTAGAGCAATATGGGATTATGTGAAGCAACCAAACTCATAAACTGCTGGCATTCCTGAGAAAGAAGGAGAAATAGTTAATAACCTGGAAAACATATTTGAGGAAATAATTTAAGAAAATTTCCCTAATCTTGCTAGAGAGGTAGACATACAGATACAAGAAATCAAGAGGACACCTGACTGATGCTATAGGAAATGAACATCACCAAAGCATATAGTCGCCAGACTATCCAAGGTCTACACTAAAGAAAAAAATCTTAAAGGCAGCTAGAGAAAAAGATCAGATCACATACAAAGGGAACCCCATAAGGCCAAGTATATAGCTCAGCAGAAACCTTACAAGCCAGGAGAGATTGGAGGCCTACTTTCAGCATTCTTAAAGGAAAGAAAATTTTCCAACCAATAATTGTATATTCCATCAAACTAACCTTTATAACTGAAGGAGAAATAAAATCTTTTATAGACAAGCAAAGGGTAAAGGAATTTATTACCACTGGACCAGTCTTACAAGAGATCCTTAAGGGAGTTCTAAACATGAAAATCTGCTACCAAAATAGCACACCTAAGCACATAGCCCAAGACCCTATAAAGAAACCACACAATAGAAACTACAAAGCACCCAGCTAACAACTTCAAAATAGAATCAAAACCTCACATAGCAATATTAGCCTTGAATGTAAATGGTCTAAATACCCTCACTTAAAAGTCACAGAGTGACAAATTCAATAAAAAACAAAAGTCATCGGTCTGCTGTCTTCAAGAGACCCATCTCACATGTAATGTTACTGTTAGGCTCAAAGTAAAGGGTTGTAGAAGGATCTGTAACACAAATAGAAAAGAAAAAAAGAAAGAATCACTATTCCTATATAAGATAAAACAGATTTTAAACCAACAACAGTAAAAAAATGACACAGAAAGGCACTACATAATAATAAAGTGTTCAATTCAACAAGAAGACTTAACTGCCCCAAATATACATGCACTCAGCATTGGAGCACCAAGATTCATGAAACAAGTACCTCCAAACCTATAAAAAGATTTAGATACCCACTCAATAATATTGGGGGACTTCAACACCCCACTGAGAAGATTGGACAGATCATTGAGGCAGAAAACTAACAAGGAAATTCTGGACTCTTGAAAAAACGCTCAAATAATTAGGCATTGAAGGAACATACCTCAAAATAATAAGAGCCATCTATGACAAAACTACAGCTAACATTACACTGAACATGCAAAAACTGAAAGCATTCCCCTTGAGAACTGGAACAAGAAAAGGGTCCCCACTCCCATCACTCCTATTCAACATAGTATTGAAAGTCCTAGCCAGGACAATCAGGCAAGAAAAAAAAAGGCATCCAAATAGAAAAATAAAAGCCATAGTCAAACTATATCTCTTTGCTGATGTGAATCCATACATACAAAACCCTAAAGACTCTGCCAAAAGGCTCCTGGCACAGATAAAGGACTTCTGTAAAGTTTCAGGATACAAATCAATTCACAAAAATCAGTAGCATTTCTATACAATAAAAATCTTCAAGCTGAGAGCCAAATCAAGAATGCAATCCCATTTACAATAGCCTCAAAAAAAAAAAAAAAAAAAAAAACAACTAGGACTACAGCTAACCAAGGAGGTGAAAGAGAACTGTGAAACACTGCTGAAAGAAATCATAGATGACACAAACAAATGGAAAAGTATTCCATGCTCATGGATAGGAAGAATGAATATTGTTAAAATGGTTGTACGGCCCAAAGCAATTTACAGATTCAACTCTATTCCTATCAAGCTACCAATGTCATTTTGCACAGAACTAGAAAAAAAAAACTATTTTAAAATTCATATAAAACCAAAAAAAGAGCCCAAATAGCAAAAGCAACCCTAAGCAAAAAGAAAAAAGCCAGAGGAATCACATTACCTGACTTCAAACTATACTATAAAGCTACAGTAACCAAAACAGCATGGTAATATTATAAAAACAGACACATAGACCAATGGAACAGAATAGAGAACCCAGAAATAAAGACACACAACTACAGCCATCTGATGTTTGACAAAACTGACAAAAATAAACAATGGGGAAAGGACTCTGTATTCAGTAAATGGTGCTGGGATATCTGGCTAGCCATAAGCAAAATAATTAAACTGAACCTTTACCTTTCACCATATACAAAAATTAACTCAGGATGGGTCAAAAATTTAAATGTAAGACTTTATACTACAATAATCCTGGAAGAAAACTTAGGAAACACCATTCTAAACATTGGCCTTGGGAAAGAATTTATGACTAAGTCCCCAAAAGCAATTGCAACAAAAAACAAAAATTGACAAGTGGGACCTAATTAAACTAAAGAATTTCTGCACACATTGTATAAACTATCAACAGAGTAAACAGACAACCTATAGAATGTAAGATTTGCAAACTATGCATGCAACAAGGGTCTAATATCCCAAATCTATAAGGAATGGAAACAATTGAACAAGCAGAAAACAAATAACCCCTTTAAAAACGAGCAAAAGACATGAACAGGCACTTTTCAAAAGAAGACATACGAGCAGCCAACAAATATTTTAAAAGGCTCAACATCACTAATCATTAGAGACACGCAAATCAAAACCACAAAGAGATACCATCTCACACCAGTCAGAATAGCTACTATCAAAAAGTTAAAAAAAAAAAAACAGATGCTAGTGAAGCTGTGGAGCAATGGGAACGCTTGTACCCTGTTGGTGGGCATGCAAATTACGTCAGCCACTGTAGAAAGCAGTTTGGAGATTTCTCAAAGAACTTAAAATAAACTACCATTCAACCTAGTCATCCCATTACTCAGTATGGTGTATGCACGCCACACTTTTTTGGTCTAATCCATTTTTTTTTTTTTGAGACAGAGTTTCACTCTGTTGTCCTCTCACTCTGTTCACAAGAAAATAAATCATTCTACCAGAAAGACACATGTACTCTCACAATTTCATTGGAACACTATTCACAATAGCAAAGGCATGGGAATCAACCTACGTGCCCATCAACAATGGATTACAGGCCAGGCACAGTGGCTCATGCCTGTAATCCCAGCACTTTGGGAGGTCAAGGTGGGCAGATACCTGTGGTCAGCAGTTCAAGACCAGCCTGGCCAACATGGTGAAACTCTGTCTCTACTAAAAATACAAAAATTAGCCGGGCGTCCTGGCACCTGCCTGTAATCCCAGCTACTTGGGAGGCTGAGGCAGAAGAATCGCTTGAACCTGGGAGGTGGAGGCAGCAGTGAGCTGAGATCATGTCACTGCACTTCAGCCTGAGAAACAGAGTAAGATTCTGTCTCAAAGAAAAAAAAATGGATTAGACCAAAAAAGTGTGGTATATATAGACCATAGAATACTATGTAGCCATTAAAAAAAAATGAAATCATGTCCTTTGCAGCAGCACGGATGCAGCTAAAGGCCATTGTCCTGAGTGAATTAATGCAGAAACAGAAAACCAAATACTGCATGTTTCACTTATAAATAGGAACTATACAATTTTAACTAACACTACTAAGTGATAGAATTGAGAATTGTACCTCTGACTCCAGACTCAGTCCTTAACTATTATAGTGTTTTTTGTGGGGACCATATGAGTGCAGAGGTGAAAATACTGACAGATATTGAAAGATGCTATTGGGTAAATAAACTACAAGAGAGTTCAGAGAAATTAATGATAAAAATGATCATACTACTCCTCTCACTTACCTAACTTTTAAGCAAACCCATTTGGGAGGTCCTTTCTAAAAAGAAAATAAAAGAGAGAAAATGAGAATGCTCAAGTAGATAGTACTATTGAAACAGGTTACTAAAAATGCATGTGGTATCACCAAAGAACCTGTTCTGACAGCAGAGAAAATGAAATTAGGCTTTCTGTCCTTATACTCAAGGATAACTGTGCCTTATTGCAAATATTTATTCCAACTGTTCCATAAAATATCTTTGAGTTTTGAAAGCAAAAAAAGTTAAAAATAATTTTCTTACAGGAAAATAGTTGATTATTGAACTTCATTAAAAGTTTTTAATGTCCTCTCTTTGAAAGACACTGTAAAGAAAATGAAATGACAAGCCTCTGGCTGGCAGAAAATATTTATAAAACATATGTCTGATAAAGAACTTATATTCAGAATGATATGGTCTGGCTGTGTCCCCACCCAAATCTCATCTTGAATTGTAGCTCCCATAATTCCCATGTGTTATGGGAGGGACTCAGTGGGAGATAATTGAATGATGGGGGTGGTTTCCCCCATACTGTTCTCATGGTAGTGAATAAGTCTCATGAAACTTGATGTTTTTATAAGGGGTTTCCCCTTTCGCTTGGCTGTCATTCTCTCTTCACTGCCACCATGTAAGACGTGACTTTTGTCTCTGCCATTATTGTGAGGCCTTTCCAGCCATGTGGAACTGTCAGTCAATTAAACCTCTTTTTCTTTATAAGTTACCCAGTCTTGAGTATGTCTTTATCAGCAGCATGAAAATGGACTAATACAGAGACTATATAAAGAACATTTACAACTCAGTAATAAAAACAGAAAGCAATGAATCAAGCTAAGTAGTTGGCAAAAGGTTTAAACAAACATTTCATAAAAAGAGGTTGTATGAATGACCCAAAGCATATGAAAAAATCATCAGCCTCACTAGCCATTAGGAAAATGTGAATTAAAACTATGATGAGATGCCATTACATTCTGACTAGAATGGCCAAAATAGAAAACAAAACAGAGTACCTACCAACTGTTGGCCAGAATGTGAAATAACTGAAACACTCGTATATTGCTGGCAATAGTATGAAATGGTGCAACCACTCTATAGAACTCTGGCAGTTTTTTCTTAAGTTAAACATACACTTATCATATGATTTGACATTTTTACTCATAGGTATTTACTCAAGAGTGAGGAAATTGTATATCCAGAAGAAGAGAAATACATGAATGTTGATATCAGTTTTATTTATAATGGCCAATAATTGAAAACCATTTGAATGTTCATTAACAGGAAAGAGAAATTTTTTAATGTGGTATATCCAACACTACTCAGGAACACTGCTCAGGAACAAACTACTGATTAATACAACAAAACAGAAGAACTTCAAAAACATTATGCTGAGTTAAAGAAGCCTCACATATAACAATACACACTCTATAACTGTATGTGTGTGTGTGTGTGTGTATATATGGCATCTATATATCTATATCTATAGATATATAGATGCATAAAATTCTAGAAATCAAAAACTCTCTTATTGTTACCAAAAGCAGATAAGTAGTTGCTTGGGAAAAAGGGCTGGAGGGGAGAGGGTAAACTGCAAAGGGCACTGACATTGTGGTCACACAAGTGTATACATTGTCAAAACTCTAACTGAAATGTGGACTAACATGTTGCATTTTATTATATGTAAATTATACCTCAATAATATTTACTTTAAAAGGCATAATGTAAAATATGTATGTACACATACATACAATATAATTACTAAAAAACCGTTATCTTTTTATGTGGCAGTTACTCATATTAAACTTTTTAACCCTCTCAATTCTCTCAACACATCAGTATAGTAATAGTGGCAAGTCCAAACTTCCCTAATTCTATTCCAAATAACTGTTCTAATTATCTGTAGCTCACCATTTAAATAGGAGTA
The DNA here is from genome assembly GCF_000001405.40 of Homo sapiens. Lineage (NCBI taxonomy): Eukaryota > Metazoa > Chordata > Mammalia > Primates > Hominidae > Homo > Homo sapiens. Next base: position 106,708 of record NT_187658.1, read on the forward strand.
CTTGAGATAATAAAATAATTACCTAAATCACCCATCTCAATGAATGATTTAGAATTGAAGAGCCATTGCCAAACAAAAGATTGTAGATTTACAATTAACATCTAAGTATGCTGTAGTATATGTTTTTAATTTACAATAGAATCTGCCAATAATTTCCTCAAATAAGTTTCAAATTCCTAATAATGTAGAAATACATGTCATAAATACATAATATTCTTAGGTAAGATGCTATTATAGAGAAGAATTTAAAACATTTACAGTGACCTTCACAATAAAAGAAACCAGGGGAAGCATAAAATATCTTTTAAACTCCTTGTAGACTCCTGTTTCTGTCTGCAATATTCAATAATCTGTGGTCTGAATGGCTTATGAAATTGTGAGTTTCTCATCGTTTAGCCCATACCTTAGCTGCCACCAAAAGAAAGGCCTGTCTTAACTTAGCGTTTCCTAGAATCAGAAGAAAGGAGTGGCTTGAAGGAGAGAAGACTCCAATCGTCTCACAAAGCATGTAGATCACTGTGTTCTGATACAGCTCAGAAATCCATGATATGAGAACACATAGAAAGAAACTAGCATAGAATAAAAGGAATGAGATCACAATTTTCAAGGCATTTGTATGGACCTTGGTCCTGGGGTCTCTGTGTCCTTTGTAATTGAGTTGCATTTTCTGGAGATGTTTCTGCAGGGAGAAAATTAACAGGAGAAAAGAGATGAAGGCCACAGTAAATGGTGTTAGACTGAACATAGTCATAGTGAATTTGACCGACACTGAAAATGTTTCAAAGTCACTCATACTGAAATTCCAAGTTGTGTTTCTTTCATATCGGTCCAGCCAGTCTTTTATATGCATGTTTATTTGTATCAGATTTAAAAATAAGAAGACCAAGGTTCCTAGCAGTATCATCAGAATCACTTTGTTTACTCTCCACTTCAAATAGAGAAAAGCAGGGCTAGAGAAACTCGCTATTTTGAGCAAATAAAAGATGCTGAAGATTGTAGCAAGCCAGAGATTGAAGTGATTAGAAACTATCCAGCTAAAAATCATAATTCTTAATCCTGTTCCAGACACAAATATGGCTAGATAATGCAGAGCTAAAAACCAACTTACTAATATTTCCCAGATCAGCCCAATTCTGGAGATTGCCAAGATAATGAGGAGTTTATCGACTGAGGACAGCTCTCTTTTACTGACCCAGTCAATGCAGTTGATCAGTACTATAAATCCATTGCTCAAATTCCCAATTATGAATTCTGCAATTATTACAAGAGTGAAGATACTCGGCAGGGCACTTTCCATGTCAGAACAGAGAAAGTTCAATGTCTAATGTCACTGCTGGTTATTCACTGATCTAAAATGCTATTCACATCCTTGAGTGTCCAGTGGAGTTCTTCTTCCTTCTCCTTTTTCTGCTCCTTCTTTCATTGTTGGCTCAACGTCAAAGCAGAAATCTCTAAAGTTTGCTGATCGATCTTCACATAACTGTTCTGGTGATATCTTTATTTTTCTTCAATTTCTCTGCTGAGCCCTAGCTAAGATATTTATGTCTTCACCATGGGCAGAAATATTTCATAGATGATTATGCAGCAAAGTTAAACTCACATTTGCAACCATGCAAATAAAGATATATTCTCTTTCATTGTTTTGTACTTTTTTGCCTTGTCTGAGCATAGAAAATTAGATTCAACCAGCTTGAGTTCTGAGGTACAAATATTATAAAAATCTGATTCATAGAATATGTAGCTAAATGAAGCTTTTATGGCTAATAGCATAGCCAATGAAGCTTTATAAAATATGCAAAGACTTACCTATGCTATTTCAAAAGAGTGCTCAATTTCTTGTGGAGCTAAAGCTGGATCTGGTCAATACTGTGACTAAAGAGAAACTCGTTTACAAAGCATCCATCTTTCTCATTCCCTGCCTCATCACTACTTAGCAGTGCTCACCACCATCCCTCCATAGGCACCAAATGCCTTCACATTTTATCCGCTTTTCCCCTCATATTTCTTTTTTAAACTTAAAAGTGATAAAAAAACAAATTTTACAAAATCAGCAACAGCTACCAAAGAAAGCAGTACTATATTACATCATAACTTGCAAAACTGAAAACCAAGCAAAGAAATAGATACACTAGTTCCCCTTATCCATGAGGCCTATGTCCCAAGACCCCCAGTGGATGCCTAAAACAGCAGATAGTACCAAACTCTATATACAATATATTTTTTTCCTGTATTCACCTACCTATGATAAAGTTTAATTTGTAAATCAAGCACAGTAAAAGATTACAAAAATAACTAATAATAAAATAGAACAATTAAAACAATATACTATAATAAAAGTTGCCAGGGGTTGTGGCTCATCCCTGTAATCCTAGCAATTTGGGAGATTGAGGCGGGAGGACCGCTCGAGCCCAAAAGTTTGAGACCGGCCTGGGCAACATAGGGAGACCCTGTATCTAAAATAAATAAAAATTAAAAAAATAAAAAGTAAAAAAATGTGTTAAAATATATAGTGTGGTGTCTCTCACTCTCTCAAGATACCTTACTGTACTGTACACACCTATTTTTGGACTGTGGTTGACCTTGGGTCACTGAAACTGCAGATAAGCGGGGACTAATGTGTTCATTGTGAAGAGTCAAGGTTCCTCACCCCGCCCCACTCTTTCAAAAACTACCGAAAAAAAGTGGATTACCAAAATTCTGAAAACGTGGAGACTCAAGAAAGATTGTCTAATTCAAAATTAATATAAATAAAACACTTTATCTTGATTATAAGATAATAAGTAGCCATTTAGCTAGATGAATACAAAGCTATTTTTATTTAATAAAGATATAATTTGTGAATTATGAATGTTTGTATTTTATTACTCATGCAATCTTTATTGGGTGATCTACAGAGTACTAAAAAATTTACAAAATAATTGCATCATCTTTAATGATTTGCAAGTTTCAATTATAACTTAAAATAGGTAGATATTTTCTATTTTGTTGTTATAATGGTATATTTGTCAAGATAGAATAGAAAATGTCTCCTTTAACAGTTTGTTAGGTTTGTATATTTATGACCTTTAAATATGTAGCTATGTGGCATGTGGTCTTCCATTTGCATTCTTGACCCAGGGCTGAAGAGATCTTTTATACTTTTTCATTTTAGGGTGTTCTTCCTACCTATCTAGAGAAAAGGGTTTGGGGATGCCGGTCACAACTTGATAATACCCCAAATCTGTACAAATAGGCCTGAGGAATGGTACTGTACTTGCTGGTATATGAAAAAATACCACAGTTTTTAGAACTTGTGATATAACACATGACAAAGACATAGAGAATGGATAACAGGCTTGCGGTTCTGAGCTGCATTTTCCTGGTGTGTTTCCATAAGAGAAAACATTTAAAAATATAAATTTAATCAAAGAGATGTAGTCTCTCACTTCTATAAGAGAAAGAGAATAGATGCTAGGGAGCATCACAGAAAAACTTTTTCAGCAGTCTGAACTGAAAAGGAAAATGAGGCAAAGGGCAGGAAGAGGAAACAATGAAAGGTTTGAGTATGTAAAGTATTTTTTAAGTCACTGATGGATGCAGTTTGCCAACGTTGTGTTAGGATATTTGCAGCTATGTTTTTAAGGAATATTGACATTTAATTTTCATTTCTCATATTGTGCCTATGAGAATTTGGTATTAAGATTTAGCTAACCTCATATCATTTGTTTAGAAATATTTCTTTTCTCTTTTTCATTTTTGCTGCCTATTATTGTTACATATAACAAATATAGAACATTTAATGAAGTTTAAATGCTATAGTATAAAGTGCACACTAATTTAAAAGCCTCCCATGGCAAGAAAGAGAACTTTGTAAACCCCATAACACCTTATTTGCTCCTTTCTAATCACAACCCCTATCTTCATTCCAGAAGTAACAACTATCTGCAATTCAAATCACGTTATTGTTTAACTTTGTATATTTTAATTTGAATATGTATCCCTAAGCACTAGCTTGGTTTTGCCTGGTTTTGGATTGCACATGAATGGAATAATACTGTACACAATATTTTTGAATTTAACTATTTTTGATCAATATTATGTTTCTAAAATTAATCATGTTGCATATAGAGATAGATCATTTATTCAATTGCTGTATAGTATTAATGGAATGACAATTCAAAATTTATCTAGTCTAGTGGAAACACAAAGTTGGTTTATTTTGAGTTTGGAGACTATGATGATGATGATGCTACGAACATTCTTTAACATGTAACTTATTATTGAGTACATGAGCATACATTTCTATGATCTTGATCTGGAACCATTCCGTTGCCTATTTCTTCTGGTCTTGTTTTGGCAGTTACGACTTTCTAGATATTTGTCAGTTTCAATTATTTATGTTTTCATGTAATTTTGATTATAATATCATCTTATTAAATTTTTAATACCAACAGAATATATCCTTTAAATTCTTCATATTATTTGCTTTTCTTTTCATGATTTATCTTACCAGAAGTTTGCCTATTTTGTTAGTCTATTCAAGTCTGTCTTGGTCGATCTTTTCAGATGTATTATTTTTCATTAATTTCATCTCTTATATTGTTATTTAATTATTTTTACTTCCGTTGAGTATGTTTGCTGTTATATTCCTGGCATACGTTTTCCTCTTAGAATTTTTCAGCATTTCTCACAAGGTTTTACTATATTTTATTATACTTAATTTTAAATATTTTCTAAATTTATTGTGATTTTTCTTCCACCATAGACTATTTTTAAAATATATGTTCGAGTTTCCATTTACATAAAATTTTCTCTGCTAAAATTTATGTTATGCATATATGGTCAATTTTGATAAATGTTTTGTGTTTGCTGAAAATAATGTGTATCCTGTAGCTTTGGGGTGCAGTGTTTCATACATCCACTAGATCTATTTGTAATCATGTTATTTAAATCCTATTTACCTTTTCTGAGTTTTGTCTTTTTATTCTATTATTTCTTGAGATTTAATGTTAAACTATCCTGCTATGAGTATAGGTTTATCTATGTCTTTTAGAAGTCCTGTCAACTTTTACTTTACATATTTTGATGCCATGCTGATGAGTGCATAGAGCGTTAGAATTGTAGTATCTTCATGGCAAATATAACCTCTACTCACATGAGGTGACATTATCTATTCTAATGTCTTTTTCCTTAAAATCTATTTAGCCTCACGCCTGAAATCCCAGCACTTTGGGAGGCCGAGGCGGGTGGATCATGAGGTCAGGAGATCGAGACCAGCATGGCTAACACATGGTGAAACCAAGTCTCTACTAAAACTACAAAAAATTAGCCGGGCATGGTGGCAGGCACCTGTAGTCCCAGCTACTCGGGAGGCAGAGGCAAGAGAATGGCAGGAACCTGGGAGGTGGAGCTTGCAGTGAGCCAAGATCACACCACTGCACTCCAGTGTGGGTGACAAAGCGAGACTCCGTCTCAAAAAAAAAAAATCTATTTAGTATATATTAAAATGATTACATTAGCTTATTTTTGTTAGTGTTTTATGGTGTGATTTTTCTAAATTTTACTTTTAACTTCTCTTTGTTATTAGGATTTAGATATATATCTTGTACATAGCATAGAGGTCGTAAAATGGGACCTAGAGCTATATGCTAACATTTTATTCCTTGTAGGATAAGAAATGTAGTCTTGTAGGAGTCCCCTCTCCCCCTTGAAGTTGTATATTATGTAAATTTTTGGTCAATAAAATATTGTGGAAATGACATGTTGCTTCAGAGTGAGAGCATTTACTCACCACTATAAGACTGCAAATTTCTCATCTTCTTGCCTTGACACTCAAACAAGGGTCAATAAACCATCTATCAGCCTGGATTCTTTTGTGACCACTATGAGCACAGGACATGTAACAGAAATCAAAAACAAAAACAAACAACAAAAACTTCTCCTACGTGGAGTCCCTGAGCTTTGGGGATCTTGTTAGTACAGCATAGACTAAGCTATCTTGGCAAGTATGAGACTGGCCTCTTGAACTGGTATGTTACTAAAACAAAACACCTAACTTATGTGACACTGGCTTAATACTTGATTCATTGGCAGTGAGTGGCAAGAAAAAACATTACTGTTTACTGTAAAACAAGATAGGGAGTGGCAAAACATTCGATAGCAGTCACCTGTGGTTATGTGGGAGGTAAATCACATATTTGAAAGTTTTGTAACTCTAGAAAAAAAATATAATTGAATATATTAATGGTTCATTTGACAATTAAAAAAATTGACTTTAGAAAATAATTGCCTACTGTCTAGCTAAATAGCAAACAGAGGGAGATGCTCTAAAAGAAAATGATATTTATTTGGGAGTAATATTGCAATGAGAATACATGTGCCATAGTAAATTATGTGTGTATTCAGGGACATTAGAAAAGACAAGGATTTCTAAAAGAGGAAGATTACATAATTGTTTTGAGATAATTAACCTTGGATCCAAGGATCAGGAACAAGGGTGACACCTGTCTAAGGTTAGACAAGGAGGTTCTGAGCAGATGTCCTTGCAGAAGTATCTTTTTGTGTAGGGTTGCAGTGGCCTTTGTGCAATGTTGTTGTTTTGTAGAGTCTTTTCTGGTAGCTCTTGTTATAAGTCGTATTTACATTAAGAACTCTCCCCTCATGGCCTTCTCCAGCTCCATTTGTCAGAGTTTTAACACAAGTGACTTCATTTTGATTCTGACAATTTTATACTACTTTGCAAGCAGGAAAAAAATATATCAGAAAGAAGAGTCTAGAAACTTGAGATTTTGCAGAGCTGGAAGAGGCAACTGCTTCTCAACACTGAATAGTATTTGAGTTTCTAAGCCTGGTTAAAACTCAGCCATGGCTGGGCACGGTGGCTCACGCCTGTAATCCCAGCACTTTGGGAGGCTAAGGCAGGTGCATCACAAGGTCAGGAGATCGAGACCACCCTGGCTAACACGGTGAAACCCCATCTCTACTATTAATACAAACAATTAGCCTGGCATGGTGGCGGGCACCTGTAGTCCCAGCTACTTGGGAGGCTGAGGCAGGAGAATGGTGTGAACCCAGGAGGCAGAGCTTGCAGTGAGCCAAGATCATGCCACTGCACTCCAGCCTGGGCCACAGAGTGAGACTCCGTCTCAAAAAAACAAAAAACAAACAAACAAAAAAACTCAGCCTTAAGACTAGGATTATCTCAAGGGTATGGTTGTTACATCCATGTTAAAAATTCTGACTAGATTATATTTACAGAAAAAGGTTCAACTGACAGTTACTGCTCTTTCAGTTTGACAAGGTAATATCAAGGCAGAGTGATTAAATATCTGGTTTCCTGAATGAAGCCTTACAATGCTCAAAGTATCTGATATTAAATCCAGAGAGAAAAGCAGAGGGGTGAAAAAGCAACAAAACACAGCAAATATAAGAAGCAGCAGACTAGACAAAAACTGTGACTTGTTTGCTTGTATGTGAAGCTGACAGGAATTAAGTAGACTAAAAAATTGAGTTTCTTAAAAAATTGTGCTTCTGAAAGAAATGCCAACCCAAACTAGGTCACACGTGTCAAAGTATATTAAAATGGAGGCCAGGTCTGAAGAATCCCTAGGCAGACAAAGCCAGTTAGGTCTCATATGACCTTAAAACTGATTGATTTACAAAAGTAAGCAAAAATTAACTTGAGCTATTTTTTATAAATGCCTATAGTAAAGAAAAACAGAACTTAAACTCAACCAATCAAAGACAGCCAACAGGATAGCCAAACATTTGATTGGTTAGCTATAAAGTTACCTTATTTCATCTGTCCTGTCTTTGCTTTTCTTCTTTGTCTGTCCTATAAAAGCATCCCCATCGCGTTCCCTCGGTAGAGCTCCGGAACCACCTCAGTTTGGAGCTTTCCAATTTATGAACCATCATTTGCAAATAAACTTTTAAAAAACTTTAGTGTGCCTTAGTTGACCTTATTAACACATGTTGAGCTAAAACCCTGTATTAGTCTGTTCTCATGTTGCTAATAAAGACATACACAAGACTAAGTAATTTATAAAGGAAAGAGGTTTAATGAACTCACAGTTCTACATGGCTGAGGAGGCCTCACAATCATGGTGGAAGACAAAGAAAGAGGAAAGGGACATCTTACGTGGCAGCAGACAAGAGAGAGTTTGCAAGGCAACTCCCCTTTATAAAACCATCAGATCTCATGAGAATTACTTATTCATTATCATAAGAACAACATGGGAAAGACCCGCCCACGATTCAGTTGCCTCCCACTGAGTTCCTCCCCATGACACATGGGAATTACTCGGGAGCCACAATTCAAGATGAGATTTGGATGGGGACACAGAAAAACCATATCAAACCCTGTTCCAGAGATGCAGTTTAACATATTATGAGACAAATGGGAGCTCACAGACAATATGAGAATCTCTTGAAGATTACACTTTTTTTCCTAGTTCTAAAATTACATCTTTTTTAATGAGACTTATATTCTTCCCCCAACTCAGAACATTTCCTTGTCTTTAAGGGAGACCTGCCACAGATAGAGAACCATAGAAAATAACAGTAACAACCACATAAACTGTCATGTTAGCTATGAAAAGAGTTGGTGGAAGGAATGGGCTCTCACCAAGACAGTGAAAAATAGAGGTAGGTGGTAAACAAATATGCAAAAGGACCATTCAGAAACCCAAGCAAACTATCATTCTCCCCATTTTACTGGTGCTATAAATACCTGAAAAAAAGTGCCACAGAAATGGATTAGTGTTATCATCAACAAATATATTTGAGCCGGGCACAGTGGCTCACACCTCTAATCCCAGCATTTTGGGAGGCCAAAATGGGAAGATATCTTGAGCCCAGGAGTTTGAGACCAGCCTGAACAACATAAAAAGACCACCTCTCTATAAAATAAGATAAAATAAAATAAAATAAAATAAAATAAAAAAAATAGCTGGGCATGGTGGTGCACATCTGTAGTCCCAGCTACTTAGAAGGCTGAGATGGAAGGATTGCTTGAGCCCGGAAGGCCCAGGCTGCAGTGAGCCATGCTTATGCCACTGCCAGTCAGCCTGGGTGACAGTGAGACTCATATATATGTATACATTTAAATATATGTATACATGGGTGAGACTCATATATACAGATATGTATATATTTGTACGTATGAGATAAGCTGGTGAGAATGAGGTCATTGAAGCAGATATCCTGTTCCTTGCCAATTAAGTCAGTGATGAATTCCATAGTTAATACCACCATGAAAATGTCCTCCTCTATACCTGGCTTCTCTTCAGAGAGAAAAATTCCTAATTTTATAATTTTTTTTATTTTCAACTAAGGGATTAATACAATAATTAAGGGATTAAATATTTAATATTTATTGTTTCAGTACTTCTCTCTTGCTATGTCCATTAATTCCATTGCTCATTGTTAATTTGTTGTTAATTACATTAAAATCAGTTCTTCTGTAGGATCATGTCATATTGATCTTTATGAAATCAGAGCAATCATTTTTCAAATGATTCAGCTGGCAATTTTCATACTAACAAATATTTTAGTTTTTTATAAGAGCCACAGGTGATAACTTTCCATATTCAAAAGAATACCCAGTGAAGTCTAGTGTTCTCAGATGCAGTTACGGACAGTTTTCCTTTCACTGTTTTCACTTGTTGCTTCACCCTAAACTTCAATTTATGTACACATTACAGTCCCCAATTAGGAGACTAACAGGATGTTGAAGAATGGCATTGGCAGGACATTTCTGAATTCAGTAGCAGGAATGAACTCAAAACCAGCAGTACTGAGTCAGTTCTTGTTCTCTTCTGACTGAATTCGTGTTCATGGAAATGTTTCTGCAAGACTGAGTGGTCACAGTGTCAGAAGGCTCCTCAGGTTTTGCCTCTTCACACATGTCCATTTCCCCTTTGACCTTCTGCCATGTCAAGATACAGCTGGAAAGCCCTCACCAGAAGCTGAGCAGATATCAGTGCCTGCTTTTGGAACTTCCCAGCCTGCAGAAACATTAGGTCTTTATAGATTGTCCAGCTTCAATATTATGCAGCCTTAAAAAGGAACAAGATCATGTCCTTTGCAGGGACATGGATGAAGCTGGAAGCCATTATCCTCAGCAAACTAATGCAGGAACAGAAAACCAAACACCACGTGTTCTCGCTTATAATTGGGAGGTGAACAATGAGATCACATGGACACAGGGAGGGGAACAACACTTAGCGGGCATGTTGGGGCAGGACGGGGGTGGGAGAGCATTAGAGAAAAGAGTTGATGCATGCTGGGCTTAATATCTAGGTGATAGGTTGATAGGTGCAGCAAACCACCATGGCACACATTAACCTATGTAACAAACCTGCATATCCTGCACATGTACCCCAGAACTTAATAAATAAATAAATAATACATTTTTAAAAGATCCACATGATCAAAAATGCAAAAAAAAATAAATTATCCAACTTCAGGTATTCTTTTATAGCAACATAAAATGGACTAAGACAAAACTCTGTGGTGAAATCTCCAATTATTTGTAAGATGAAGTCGTAGAAATGGGTGAAGTCCAAAAAGCAGGTTATAATCTATATAAACATTTAAGACTTTTATTAATATTGACAAAGTCCCCTACAAAATGCATGCACCAATGTAAGCTCTCACTAGCATTAAACGAGACTGCTCGTAACTTTGCACACATTATAATTCTATGTAACAATTTACAAAAGCAAAATGTGGCCAATTTGAAATGCAAAATAGAGCACTTGTTATTCATTTTACCATAGTACTATACTAAACTTACGTTTTTGTTTAAATGTGAGGCTGAATTTTTTATATATGATAATCTGGTTTTTAAAATTATTTTTATCTTTTTTATAAAACAGTAAAAGTATTAAATTTTTTTCTACTGTTTATATTGCAAATAGACTTTAAAGTTTTTAATCTATTATTTACCTTTCTATATTTATTTTCTTGAGGCATTCAGAAATTCTTCCAGTCATGCTATTAAATGCATTCATTTTAAATGTACTCTGCCTTTAATATCATGTTTAAACATGTCTTCCCAACTTTCAAGATTACAAAACAATTCTTGGTATTTTCTCTGTTTGATTGTTTACTTTTTCAATTCTATATTTAATCCTCTTATTTACTTTGGAAGAAGAAGTATGTTACACATTTGTCTTATTTCAAATTGCAATATTGTTGTTACAATACTAATTATTGCAGGGTTAATTTTTCTTCACATATTTAAGATGGAAAAATCTATCTCACACAATATATTTGTAAACAAAAAAAGATATTTATAAACTCTATAATTTTTTTGTTGCACTGGAGTTTCCTCATTCTTTCATGATGTTATTCTATGCCACTCTTTAAAGAGAAGTGTTGGAGGACATGAAAGGTGAGAGGATAGACATGTAACTATTTGTTGGACACCTAACTTAGGATGGACAGATTATATTATTTTTATCAGCAAATGTGAACTCATCAGTCTTTTCCTTAATGACATGTGCTTCCTCAAATTAAAGGCAGTAGAGTCTTATTTTGATTTTCTTGTAAAAGTTTTAAAGAATTGTTTTCAAATCTAAAGTGATAGTACATCTAATGTAGTTTTTCTGTTTGTTGTGAGTTAGAAATACAATTTTGTCCCAATATTAAATGACAGAGGTCTCAATATCATTAGTTGAACAGTCTACGTTTTTTTTTTGTTGATTTCTAATGCCAAATCTATCACGTACGGAGGTTCCTATGTGATAAGAATAAACAATCTGGTCTCACCAGACCTGTCTTTAGTTTGATCTGCTGACCTATTACTTATTATATACATTTTATTTCTGTGTCACAACCTTCATTGTTTTGATTTTTTTAATAATTTTTTTGAGACACGGTCTTGCTCTGTCTCAAAAAATATTAAAAAAATTTTTTTAATCTTTTTTTTTTTTTTCCTGACAGAGTCTTGCTCTGTAGCCCAGGCTGGAGTGGCTCAATTAAGGCTCACTTCAGCCTTGACCTCCTGGGCTCAAACAATCCTCCTGTTTGATTCTCTGTGTAGCTAAGACTACAGTTGCCACTATACCCAGCTACTTTTTTGATGCTTTTAGAGACAAGGTCTCACTGTGTTGCTCAAGTGGGTCTTGAATGCCTTAACTCAAGTGATCTTCCCATCTCAGCCTCCCAACATGCTGGGATTACAAGTATGAGCCACTAAATAAATAATTTAAATAAGTCTTGCTATCTACTGGATACCCCTACCTTAATTTTCTTTTTCAAGAATTGTCTGAATTATTTTTGAATACTTAATTCATGTGTAATTTAGGACTGTTTTGTCAATTTGAAAATAAATTTCTTTAAGATTCTGGTTAGAATTATATTGAATATGTGAATTAATTTGAGCATAATCAATGTCTTTGAAAATTAATTTTTGCATATCTATATAGTTCAAATCCTTCACTAAAGTATTATAGTTATGTAATTTCACAATATATAACATCATGAAACACTTTTCTGAGACTTAGTCATAATCAAAATATAGTTCTTATTTGTAATAAGAAAGGGAATTTTTTTAATTCCACATTTTAATGGACCAGTGCTGGTGAATAGGTGTAATTTTAGCCCATATATATTGATATTGTACTCAGCAAGCTTATCAAATTTGTGTTATTTCAAAAGTTTTCCTGTTGATTTTTAAATTATCTAGGTGGAATTACTACTATTAGTATATAATTTCTTTAAATTTCCATCCAAATTTCTATGTAACAATATTTTTGTCAAAGTGTATTAGTTAAATGACCTAACGAAATTGTCAATAAACAAGTATCTTTGTCTTAATCTTGATTAAATGAAAAGCTCTATGTTACACTAATAACTATGCTTCTGTATTTGTTTAGTAGACATACAAGTTATTAAATGTTGCTTCTATTTAAACTTGGTTTGGGTATTTATCTTGATTAGGAGTTAAATTAGATTAAACATTTTTGCAACATCTGTTGAGATAATTTTATGTAAATTAAAATTATTTACTTTCTAGTTTTAAATTATCTTCAAATTCTTAGAATGAATCTTTTCATTTGTAATATATTTTAAGTATATATTATGAGACTAATTTACTTTTACACTTTTTTTTAGCAGTTTTGTGCCTGTATCTAATTGCCTACCTTCTCATTATTTGCTGTCCTCTACTGTTTTTACTCACTTTGAGAATAATTTTTTAACTTCTTAAAATAAATGAGAATAAAACATTTAGGTTCACTGAAGTAGTTTGGAGAAGGTAAAAATTATGACATTTTTAAACTTAGTAAAAGTTTTTTATAAATCCATCTGAATTTGATATCTTGTGTATATTTTGATAGTCCATTCAAAATCTTTGAAATTGTTGATTTATTAAAGTTTTTTACTACTAATATAAATTTTTGTTAACCTATGCTTTTTAAAAACTTGGCAATTTCAACTGAGTTTTTAAATTTTGGAATAAAATTATTTAGAACTTTGATTATATAAAGCTCTGCTATTTAGTATTTTCTACATTTCATCAATTTTTCTGCTTCTCGTATTTCTTGATCAGTACCATCAGACTTTTGAATTTCCTAATCTTTAAAAGATTTTGGTTGTACTACCATTGTCTATTATATTTTGATTTTCTATTTATTTATTCATTCATTTATTTATTTACTACTTTGATTTTGGTTGACATCCAAAAGCATAATTACTGCCCTTCAGACAAATTCTAACTTTTCCTTTTGCTGAGTCTATGACTTGGGAAATTTACTTAACCTTGCTATCCCTTGGATTTTTGTTTGTTTAGTTTTTGAGACAAGGTCTCACGCTGTCACCCGGGGCTGGAGTGCAGTGGTGCGATCTTGGCTCACTGTAGTTTTGACCTCGCAGGCTCAAGTGATCCTTCCACCTCAGCCTCCCTAGTAGCTGGGACTACAAAGGTGCACCACCATACCCGGCTAATTTTTGTATTGTTTGTAGAGGGCAGTGGGGTCTCACCATATTGCCCAGGCTTGTCTCGAACTCCTGAACTCAAGCATCCACCTGTCTTGACCTCCCAATGTTCGGGGATTACAGGCAGGTGCCACAGCACCCTGTCATGCCTCTGATTCTTTAAAAACCAAAGGGAATGAGACTGTTTTTAGGAATAAATATAAAATAAATAGCACACCTAAACCACCTAGAACAGTACCATGTACTAAGTAAGCGCAAGGTACATATTAGCTCCTTCTTAACTTATTCACCCTTCTTTAAATTTTTCTGTTGTTCATTTTTCTTAACTGAAGGTGAATATGTGCCTCATTCATCTGGAAAACTTTTTTATAAAACATGTACTAATGGATATGGATTCTTAGCTTTAGCCGGTTTTTTCATTTTGATTGTGAAAAGCTTTTTCGTTGCTGAGTTCTAAACATTTATCTTTTATGTAGAAATGTTCATCTTTTTCTCAGTTATAGAGAATAGTTCAATTTTCAAACTTTTTTGATTGATTTAACATTTTACTACTTTACATTCTACGTAATACTTATTCCATGGAATCTGTTCTTTGTTATAGTGTACATGGTTTAGGTGTGTAAATGTTTCATGTGTATTTGAATGTTTGTGTCCAGATTTCTGTCAAGTACAGATTTCTACATAAAAGTATTGAATTAATTTTTGCTAATTGCATTCTTAAAATATTCCATATCATTCTTTCTTCTGCTTGATATGGCAGTTTATTAAGTGTGTCTTACATTCTTATTATTTGTGGATTCTTCAGTTTCTGTTTGTGAGGCTTCTGCTTTATCTATTTACGTAATGCATTGTTAGGTATGTCCAAATTCATGATTATTGCATCTTTTCCATGAATTTTTTCTTTTTCTTTTTTTTGAGACGGAGTCTCGCTCTGTCGCCCAGGCCGGACTGCGGACTGCAGTGGCGCAATCTCGGCTCACTGCAAGCTCCGCTTCCCGGGTTCACGCCATTCTCCTGCCTCAGCCTCCCGAGTAGCTGGGACTACAGGCGCCCGCCACCGCGCCCGGCTAATTTTTTGTATTTTTAGTAGAAACGGGGTTTCACCTTGTTAGCCAGGATGGTCTCGATCTCCTGACCTCATGATCCACCCGCCTCGGCCTCCCAAAGTGCTGGGATTACAGGCGTGAGCCACCGCGCCCGGCCCTTTTTTTTTTTTTTGAGACAGAGTTTTGCTCTTGTTGCCCAGGCTGGAGTTCAATGGTGTGATCTTGGCTCAGTGCCACCTCTGCCTCCCAGGTTCAAGTAATTCTCCTTCCTCAGTCTCCTGAGTAGCTGGGATTACAGGCACACGCCACCATGCACAGCTAATTTTTTTGTATTTTTAGTAGAGATGGGGGTTTCACCACATTGGCCAGGCTGGTCTTGAACTCCTGACCTCAGGTGATCTGCCCGCCTTGGCCTCCCAAAGTGCTGGAATTACAGGCGTGAGCCAACATGCCCAGCCTTCGATGAATTGTTTTATTCTTACTACTCTGTAATCACCTGTCTTTAACTGTTACTGTTGTTTACTTTAAATGTTATGTGATTATTAGTTATAATTCAGTTAAATATGACAAATATAAACAAGCAATTGAATATATGCATGTGGAAGAGCATCTATCTTTCACATAACTAAAAAATACATAGGAAAGTTTTTGTGGCACAAATTGTCCAAGGGAATAGTGTGATTCTATCACCAACAAATGATAGGATAATAGACATTAGGCATAAGTAGCAGTTACTGTGCTCATTAGTTAGTGGTAGATTCTACCCATTTATTTTCTGTCACTGTGGTTTTCTGCTTTAGGTATGCCTCTTGAAAGCAGAACATAGTCGTGTTTTGTTTTCTTATTTATTCTCTGTCTTTTGATAGATCAAGCAAATTTATTTAAATTCATGAACATTTCTGATAACATTGAACTTGCTTTTACTGTCTTATTAAAATTTTGCTAGTTATCACTCTCTTTTCACTCTTTTTTTGCTTTGAGATTAAAGTGATAAGTTCTTTTTATTCATTTCTCCATCTGTTTTTTTTTTTTTTTTTTTTTTTGAGACGGAGTCTCGCTCTGTCGCCCAGGCTGGAGTGCGATCTCAGCTCACGGCAAGCTCCGCCTCCTGGGTTCACGCCATTCTCCTGCCTCAGCCTCCCGAGTAGCTGGGACTACAGGCGCCTGCCACCACGCCCAGCTAATTTTTTGTATTTTTAATAGAGACGGGGTTTCACCGTGTTAGCCAGGATGGTCTCCATCTCCTGACCTCATGATCCACCCGCCTCGGCCTCCCAAAGTGCTGGGATTACAGGCGTGAGACACGGAGCCCAGCCTCATTTCTCCATCTATTCTAAGTTTCTATTTTTATATAACAAATCATTCCCCAAATTGCAGGCTTAAAACAGCAGTTTATTACTTTTTTCCTCACGATTCTGTGAATTGCCTGGACTTAGTGGATAGTCTCTCATTGTGGTATTTCATGTAGTTGCCATCAGATAAGGGATGGGACCACAGTCATCTGAAGGCTCAAATGGGATGAACATCTACAATGATCCAACTCAATGGCTGACATAGGGAGGATTCCCTCTTTTTCTACTGATTGGAATAGTTTCAGAAGGAATGGTACCAGCTCCTCCTTGTAACTCTGGTAGAATTCGGCTGTGATTCCGTCTGGTCCTGGACTTTTTTTGGTTGGTAGGCTATTAATTATTGCCTCAATTTCAGAGCCTGTTAGTGGTATACTCAGGGATTCAAATTCTTCCTGGTTTAGTCTTGGGAGGGTGTATGTGTCGAGGAATGTATCCATTTCTTCTAGATTTTCTAGTTTATTTGCATAGAGGTGTTTATAGTTTTCTCTGATGGTAGTTTGTATTTCTGTGGAATCAGTGGTGATATCCCCTTTATCATTTTTTGGGGGGTCTATTTGATTTTTCTCTCTTTTCTTCTTTATTAGTCTTGCTACTGGTCTATCAATTTTGTTGATCTTTTCAAAAAAACCAACTCCTGGATTCATGGATTTCTTGAAGGGTGTTTTGTGTCTCTATCTCCTTCAATTCTGCTCTGATCTTAGTTGTTTCTTGCTGTCTGCTAGCTTTTGAATGTGTTGGAGAGCAGTTTCTCATAAAAGCTTGTGGATTCAACTGTAAAAGTGGCAATCCACTCTGACTCCCCTCTCCACTGCAGAGAGCTTTCTTCTTTCACTTATTAAACTTTTGCTCCAACCTCACCCTTTTGTGTCCACACTCCTTAATTTTCTTGGTCATGAGACCATGAGCTCAGATAACACCTTAGTAATAATATCAATGACCCGGACCTGTTTTGGTAACACCAGCTCTGGGGCCAGGACACAGGGGCACTCTCAGGCAGAAGACTGAAATCTGTGCAAGTGGTATACAAATTTATCCCTTCATACACAAATCTCAGGCCAGTCTCTCTCTTGGACTTCTAAAATTTTACATTCATTGTGATGAGAATCAACATTTTTGGTTCATTTCAAAGGACAGGCTCAAGTTTTGCCAATGCTAATATGGCTCAGCAGAAAAATGCATGTGGCTTGTATTAAGAAAGCACATAAAGGATCTACATTGACTGGGTTTTCATAATCACAAAAAACGAATAAATTTGTATGAGTATCTTTATATGAAGGCAAGGAGGAAAACAGGTGAATGGAAGCCTACGTAAATGTGCTTATGATTTAAAACAAACTTATTTCCTCAGGAAAAATATATTTTTCACCTCACCTGTTAAAGTCTTAGGAAAGCTTAACCTTGATAATCTCCTAATAACAGAACTTATGTTTCTTTTCTGAACCTCATTCCTTCTCATATTGTAATAATGAAATGAATAAATGAATAGCAAGTGAGTAGTGGTGCACACTAAACTCTGAGTACTGACTGCCTTCTATTCCACTTAATACCTTTATAAGAACATTGTTATGTACCTAAGTCATGTCATCTATAAAACTAAGGTAATGATAACAATCATATGTCCCTAATATAATGGTTTTGATGATTAAGTGGAACATAGTAAATGTTTAAAAATGTTTTCTATTATAACCAATTTGGCTAGGATAGGTGGAAAGAATAGAAATATGATAATTAATTGTGAAATGTATAATATATATTAATAGGTCATCAACATCAAATTAAAAAATATAGATGATTACCATGATAGTGAAACCAAAGTTTTTAGACAAGTCAAAGCAAAGTTGAAGTCTCAGAGACCATTGTGTTTATTTGCTAACTGTATTATCAGACTGCTTAGTTGATACAGTGAATACAATAATTCTTCCAATGTACATAAACTGCCAGACAAGCAACTCAATGCAATTCACTCACTCTCGGAGAAGTTTATCCCCTCTGCCAATGTTCATCTTTCCTGGCAAACCATCCTTCAGTATTCCAGGCAAACTAGAGCAAGGTGAAGTTGAAGAAGATCCTACTTTATATTCCATTCAGAGAGCTTCCGGGTCTTCAAAAAAGATTTAGTCATGTGGGTGTGAAAGAGCTGAGTCATGAAATTTGGACCTTATTGTAAGTCCAGAAGGAAAAACAAGGGGTTTGAAGCACAAGGGTGATATGATCTAATTTCTACTTTTAAATGATCACTCTGATTGTCGTGAGGGAACTGATATGGGATGTACTGGGGGAAGAATGTTACCAGGACCAGGTCGAGGCTGTTAAAGACCTCCAGGAGAGAGCATTGTGGGCCGAACAACAAGCTTCTAGTAAAGATCATGCAAGTGGACACATTTGAGATGTATTTTGAAGGTGGAAGAAATTAGATAAGCTAATGGGTAGTGCCTGGAGGGAGTGAGGATTTTTGAACCACTAGGTAAACACCTGTGAGTAACAGAGAAAAAGTTGGGATGTGTTATGAAAGATGAATCCTAAAATTTCATATGTTGAAGACTGATGCTTCAGGACCTCAGAATGTGAACATCCATAGTAGAAGGGAATTGTGTTGTTGACGGCTGCCACCCACTCTAGGTGCCCAAGCTCCTGCAGCAGTCCTACTTCTCCCTTTCACCCACACTCACTCCCAGACAGTGTCCCTTTCAGCTCTTCCATCACCCCTTCTTTTGATTTGGCTGGTGAGAGCATAGCTGGTATTTATACTTTCTTGATATGCTAGTCTCTTTTGCTGATTGTTGACATTGGAGAAGGTCATGGAAGGGACCTGAGCTGAGCGACCTTTAGGAGCATTTCCTGTTCTTTTCCTGTACTCTGCTGCCAAGGAGAAATCTGTCTTTCACCAGGCTTGCAGCTTTCTCCGTTACCCACATCATCAGGCAATATCTGTCTGGCACCCCTCTTTGTTCCCTTTCTCTGGCCTTCCTTTTTGACATGATGGTTGACCTGAAATCACCAAGGCAGGACTGCTCATCTCCAGGTCTAATGGAAAACAGTATCTGGTGAAACCAAAGAAAATAATCCCAGTAACCCACTGGGAGCTGCTTGGCTTAAGCACCTACCCTGTGCCTAAGATACAACCCATCAAGCCCAGCTAAAACTGATCCAGTTTCCACAGGGCCAGAGAAGAATTGCCAATTAAGAATGCATTCCCACTTCAAATATGTCTATATTTATTTCAGGGAAAATATCAGTCTGCCTGGGTCCCTTATGAGAACATTGTTGTCTGTAGAAAAATCTAATCTATTAGGAAGCCTTCTTGTTTTGTTATCTGCAACTCTTCAGAAGGGCCAGACCAGACCCTCGTATGCACAGTACAGGATCCACCCATGCACATCTGTCTAGGGCCTTGTCTTTATGATTTTCTGTCACATGGCCTCTCAGCCATGCCTCCAACCAAGCTATCCTCAAATAAACACTAGCCGTGCACAAAAAGTGAAAAATTACACAAGGCCTACACAAGGTCTGAAATGGAAAGTGCAGCTGGTGATACCGAGTAGTATATTTTATGAATTGAGGAACAGGGAATTTCTAGGTATCACAGAGCAATCAGCAGCTGAGAAGAGGAGTACCAATCCAGGACCCTGGAAGGATTTTTCAGAAACTTAATAGTTTATTGTCCAATTGTAGAGACAAAAATGAAAATAAAGATAGTGAGGAGTACCATACACCATTGCTTAGAAGATTAAATAAATGTCATCTCCCACAAGTCATGTGGGGAGAAAAAAACTATATAGGAAGAAAATTACAAACGACAAGGTAGTCTCAGCATATAAAATATCAACAAATGAATGTAAGAAAGAGAATGAGAAAGAATTAGTATTAGAATATCATAGAAAAAATCATCTTTGTGAAAGAAAACTCTGATGAAACTGGTGACATAAATACTGAGTAAAAAACAGAAGACCAATCAAGGCATTTGAGGCTTGAACAGGCATTACAAATCATCAAGTTGAATATATAAGTATGGCCACTTAGTTATTAGTGGTGAAGACTACGGTATTTGTTAGAAGAAATAAAGTAGATGATGAATTCTATAGAATATTCTGGAGAAAGTGGAGGTCTTAGCTACATGACATCGTGTGGCTCACTTTGGGAACCATGTTTCAGTTTGTTTAGGTCTAGAAATTCCTTGGTGGTTTCTGTGTTCAGTTTTGCTTTAATAATCCCTAAAGATATTTTTTAAAATACAAATTTTTTAGCTTTCCTGTATTGTACAGCACCAACGCTTGCCTGAGTGTAGTGAGATTCACAGAGTTTGGAAATTTCCTGTAGCATGAGGAGGCTGCGGGGCAGCCTTCTGTCATCTATGTGTACCCAGCAGTGTGCTGTCCTCACACAACTCACGGATAAGCAGAAAGCATCTCTATTACATGAAAAATTTAGCTAAATATACAAATATCCATGCACACACATCATGAGAGATGGAAATAGGCTATCAAAAGAGTCAGACATATTGACCGTCTTCACTGTTAGCTGTAGGATTGCTGCCCAACCCCCTGACACACCCACACAAACTCACATACACACAAATGAAAAGCACAGTGGAAAGCAGAATAGCAGTCTTTCCAAACAGATTGAAAAACAAATGATGTCTAAAGTTCAATCCTGACACTGTGCTGATTGCTTGGACACAGTTCCGTCAAAACATTTGTCCAAGTCATAGTTGTACCTTTTAGAAATTAGCCACAAACAACATCCTCCCCAACCCTTCCTGCTAGGCTAGAGTCCCAGAAGAAATGAGGGATACACTTGACCTGAAGTAAGCAAAGCAGAACCCAGTCTCTGAGGCGAGGAGGCCCACCTGGTAGGGAGCTCAAATGCGCCATTGTCCTGCTTGTCTTTATAAAGGGAGCTGACACGTTTCTCCCAGCATAAAGTTGGGAGTGACACCAGAGCCTTCTGCAAGATGCTTCTGATTCTGCTGTCAGTGGCCCTGCTGGCCTTCAGCTCAGCTCAGGACTTAGATGAAGGTAAGCCGAATTGGGGGAAGATATTGTGACTCTGATTGGGGTTTACGGGCGAATGCTATAGAGGGGGAAAGTGGAGGGAAGAGAGGAGGATGAGAAAACAGATAGGACTGAAGAGTTCTCATGCCAAGGATCAGAAGACCTGTTGTGCCTTCATTCCTCATCAAGACCTCATAATTTATTGATTGCACAAATAGAACCCAATAAAGAATTTGTACCGGGGGAGTGAGAGAGTGAGATTTGCATTTATAGAGACATGGGACTGCTGGGAAGGATATGGAGAATGCAAGACAGATTCAGGGAAGTGCAGCTGTGAAGATCCTATACTGATCCCAGTAGACAGGGATGATGGTGGCCTTGCTGGACAGTGGATGAGTATCCATGAAGGAGATAAACACATGTCAGAGCTATTGCTGAGGCAGAGAATTGGGTAAACACTTGCCTCTGTCTACATAGAGTTAGAGAATCACCAGAGTGAAATATTGTCATTTTTTTCTCTCCTGCATGTAGTATTTTAATGTGCTGGGACGGGCATTTGTAAGATTGTATCTAAGTGGCTATGTCTGGTGGCTCCTGTTGAGAAAGCTTGCAAACATAAACAACATATTTACAGATGAAAGAGGGCAGAAGGATCCCCAAATATTTCATTGAAATACTCAAGAGCCCTTTAACTAAATAAGCACTAAGGCTTAAGGAATCATGAGAGGACAAACAGGGGCCCTTCTATGTTGAGTTCCTGGTTGACGCTCAGTGTAGTAACAATCCTGCTTTCCCTTACATCTTCTTCCACTTCCGGTAGCATCAGAGAGTGGCTGATGAGATCTCAAAGGGGATGCACAGGGTGTGATCAGAGGTCCTTTATCCTCGTAGAACACTATGAGCTCTGAATGATTCATGCAGTAACTTTTCCCATCATCCTGTACTTCTTTTCTAGATGTCAGCCAAGAAGACGTTCCCTTGGTAATATCAGGTAAATCCCAATAAATTCTCAGTAAACTCTGTCTCCATTTTTCCCTGAAAAATTGATCAGTTCTCCAGTGTCTTCTTATCATCCTTGTCAGGAATTGGCTAATATCAGTGCCCCAGAGATATAAACAGTTTTCTCCCAACCTTGATTCTGGGGACCATGAGTAAAGAAATTTGATTTTTCACCACCCTAATGTGGATTAAGAGGAGTTCTAATTAGGAAGCCTTGGGAAGGGGGGAGGTTGGGAGTTGAGAGGCAGGTCAGGGAGAGAGGGGCCGGCCGTGTGGTGAAGACAGAGAGATATGAAGACAGGAGGGTTTTCCAGCATGAGCTCAGCTCTTCTTGTTTCAACTCACACAGATGGAGGAGACTCTGAGCAGTTCATAGATGAGGAGCGTCAGGGACCACCTTTGGGAGGACAGCAATCTCAACCCTCTGCTGGTGATGGGAACCAGAATGATGGCCCTCAGCAGGGACCACCCCAACAAGGAGGCCAGCAGCAACAAGGTCCACCACCTCCTCAGGGAAAGCCACAAGGACCACCCCAACAGGGAGGCCATCCCCCTCCTCCTCAAGGAAGGCCACAAGGACCACCCCAACAGGGAGGCCATCCCCGTCCTCCTCGAGGAAGGCCACAAGGACCACCCCAACAGGGAGGCCATCAGCAAGGTCCTCCCCCACCTCCTCCTGGAAAGCCCCAGGGACCACCTCCCCAAGGGGGCCGCCCACAAGGACCTCCACAGGGGCAGTCTCCTCAGTAATCTAGGATTCAATGATAGGTATGATTCCAGTTTATTATCCATCAAAGGCTCCAACTGCTACAGTTCTCCAACTTCATTGTGCCAGTGAATCTATTGAAAAGCTGTTAATATTTCCGTGTCCTGGAACACATTTCTCATGAGTTTTGTTCAAATATTCTGGGATAAGGTAGCAAGATCTTGTTTTTAAACAATCTCTTGAAGGCAATTCCAATTTTGAGAATCACTATCTTCAAATTACCTCTCTTAAATAGGGTTGGGAATGAGGACATAGAATCATGTTCTCCCTTTGGCACTCTGTTTCCTTTCCTCAAACTCAAAGACTCCCATTTATTTAAAGTTTTACCTGAACACTCCTTGTTCAGGACAGGCTCAGTCCTGCCTCACACTAGCATTTCAAGTCCAGTATTCCTGCTAAATGGTCCTTGGACTTTTAGCTGTTAAATGGTATCTCATTTTTTAAAACACATTTCACATTTAAAGTCATACATGCTTAAGCTAACAAAAACTAATCTCACTGAATAGACATGTACCAAGCTAAATAGCAATTCATTTCTCCTCCCCTCTACCCTTACCAAAACTCCCACTTTTTACTGTTTGGAAACTCCTCTTTGAAATATTTATTGCTACATAACTATATATAATTTTCCCACCACTAATACCACACTTTATATTCAGTTCTGTGTCTTACTTATTGGAAAAATTTATTTCTTAGCTTTCACATGAGTTTATTTAGATCTCTTCAGTGTTTATTGGTTAGTTTTTTTTTTTACAATTATATATGATGCTATTGTTTGGTTTTTCCATAATTTACTTAACCAATCCTTGTCACTGAACATTAAGGCTGCTTTCACACTGTCCCTATTACAGGATATGTTGCAGTCCCCATCTTTCTGAAAATAACCCTTAACGTATCCAACAGCCACAAAGCATGAACAACCTAACAATAATCGTTTTTCGTCCTCATCTAAGCAACAGTTTAAAGCACATTACGTGCAATGGCATAGAAAGTGTGAACAAAGAAAATGATATTAAGGAGGGGGGCTGTAGAAGGGATAGAGGGCAAAAGGATGGTTTTGCATCTTCCTCACCGCAGTAAACCAATGAGGTATTAGACATTTCCTGCCATGTCAAGTCTTGCCTATAATCTTCCTTGTCTTTTTCAGGAAGTGAATAAGAAGATGACAGTGTTTCAAATGCCTTGAAACATAATGTGATCATGCTCTAACTTCAATATACCAATAAAATAATCAGCTTGCAATTTCTGATTATAGCATCTCCTTCTGAGTGTTTGGGACTCTGGAATCTGAGACCCATGTTCACATTGTAAGAACATCCAGGACCCCTTCTCCTTGATGTTTCCAGCAAGCTTCTTTCCTCCTTATCCTTATTAAGTCATCTGCCTGGGGAAGGAGTTCCACTGTTTCTTTCCTTCTCTGTCTTCTTAGCTCGAATTTAAATTGCACAATTATTTTCAGGTCATTTCCTGATAGTCTAGTCAGCTTATGAATGTAAGCAAAACAGGACCAATGAAAGAAAGTCCCAGAAGCTGAGAGAAACTTTAACAAGTTTGAGAGTAACTTATTTTGTTTTCTAGGAAAGTGAGTATGGTTCTATGCCTGTATTCCCCAGAAGCCACTAGACCTATTTTCCCCTATTTTATCACTGATCAGTTCTGTCCCTGCCTATGATTCTTACCATTCTTAAGAAAACCTGAATGGATTTCATCAAGGCGGCAGCATAATTTGAAGGGCAATTGCGTGTGAAAATTGATGTGACTTGATTTACACAATAGTCAGAAAACATTTTAGAAATTGATGACTTTATAATGCAACCAGGAGTATTGAAAAAAAAGTAAGCAATGAGCTCAAATAATTAAAAAAGAGAGACAAAATACACTTGGGAGAACAGAAATAAGAATTAATGAAAATTTAAAAGATTAAATGAATGAGAAGAAATGATTCATAAATTTTGAACTAACAGTAATAACTTCTTGAAAATCCAATAAAATTGGCAAAAGATTGTGAAAATTCTGGAAGAATAAGGGAAACAGATAATCTTCAGAGTAATCAGGTAAAGCTTAAACAAGTGTTTTAAAAGATGAGTTTTTCCTACATTCTGAAAAGCAAACATGAAAAACTGAACACAGTTTTTACAGATATACAATATGGAGTGACTTATATACAAAATGACCTTAAAAATATATTAAACTCATTATAGTAGTTAATATCTAAGTAAAATATGATGAAATTTAATAGAGAATTCACTCCTCCCAAAAGCACCTTCATGGAAGATTCCTCATTAACAGGCAGTCCTTTAGTATGCTGATTTATACAAAATGCTGAAAAGAAGAGAAATACCCCAAGTTCTTGAAAAAAAATTTTTTGATATGACTACTCTAACAGTAATAACTATAAATCTCACTTTAAATAATTTAAAACAAATTAAAGTGATATATGAGTTAAATGACCAAGCAGACTTGATTCCAGGAATGTTAAGGAATGTTCATTATTTGTTTTGGATAATGAAGTCAGCAGAGGAAAAAAAAATATGACCATCTCAAAAGATGCCAACGTTGTCTTTGATAATATTTAATATATTTTTTAAAAAACAATTCTTGTAAAATACTTTTTTGATTAGCCTTCTGACCATGATTAAAATGGTGTACCTCAAAGTAGCTGCTAACCTTATGTGTATCTGCAACACCCTGAAAAATTATCTAATAAAAAGGCACAAAGAAAAAGCTTGTCAATGTTGTGGATAATTAGAAAGTGAATAATTTTATTTAATATTAGATAAACAAGCACATAACAGAGATACATATATTCAAATGGAAGGAGTAAAATTACCACCACATGCAGATCTGTTTTTCTGTCCAGAAAATAACAAGAGATTCTACTCAGGTAAAAAAGGAAAGGAAGGAAAACCATTGTAATTAAAATAAAATTTAATACAATAGCCGTTTATTAATTCAACTTCTAAAGAATCTTTGTGATTACACAATGACCAGCTAGTAAATATAATAAGAAAATGATTATTCACAAAGGAACCAAAAGGCCTAGTCTTCGAATTTTTAATGCCATTGTGATAGCAAGCATCTGATTATTTTACTCTAAGTTATTTCCACTTCTGATTTTAAGAACAGCTTCTTTCCCAGGGATGGGTTCCCCCTAGTGATGTATTCTCTTCACCACAAGAGTTTGCAGCTCTGGCTTTCTTTCTGCTCATCTGTAAAGATAACTACAGCTCCTCTATAAACCATCTCACCATTATTACCGAAATCAGACAAATTCTGGAGATAGTCAAAGCTGTGAGGATTCGAAGATCTCTTTCACATCTTGACCCAGTCAATTCCGTTCACCAGTGTTATGAATCCATTCCCCAAAATTCCAATTAGGAATTATATATTTATTATTATAATGAGGATACTATACAAGGCATTTAGCATGGCTGCAAAGAGAGAGCTCCAATGTCTAAATGCAACGCTGACAATTTCTTCATCTATCACATGTACCTGTTATACATACTTATTAATTGGATGTGCAGTTAATTTCTTCCTTTAAAAAAAAAACTATAGGCTCAATATGAAAGTAGAAAGCACTAAGGTGTACTAATGAATGGGCACATAGCTTTTTTCACAAAAAGATTATTTTGCCCCAGACAGCTATCTGCATTCTGATCCAGATACTGTATGTTCTTAACATAAAGTGAAATTTCTCATACTTCATGATGAAAGAAAAAACTGAATTCTCATTGTTAATAAACAAATAAAGACAATTCTCTGCATCATTGTGCATGTTTGCTTTATCTAATCTCTTCACAATTTGCTTATTAATTTTAATTGTTATCAATTGCATTAAAATTCAATGGATAGAAGTATAACATATAGCAAATATGTAAATTAGTAGATGGAGTATATTGAGCACTAAAATCATCTCCACTGAGGAATGCTGAGGGAAGACTGAGGGGATATTTTCATAGTTTATCCAAAGCTCTTATAATTCAAAGCATTGAAATTTACTGAATGAATCCAGAGGAGCCATAACTCCTGAATGCTGAGTGCTGATAATTTACATTTATTTATCAATTAATTGTTTGCAAGTTCCCGTATACACACACTTTGCAGAATAACCTTATAGGATTATTGTCCAGGAATGACTGCTGTCTTTTTGGCAATAAGAATATAGGGCTCAGGAAATCACATGGATTCAAAATCTTCGATTTTCTAATAATTAATTCTTGCTTCCTTCATTAATATTTATTAAGCTTATCCTGACATTAAAAAATATTATATATCAAAATATTTTAAAAACATAATTACCCTTGATATTCTCTAATACTTAACTGAAAATATCCAGGAACATTTGAGAACCATTTACAGGGCTTATGAAAACTGATAGAACTCTATATTAATCCCACACAGCAGCCTCTTTGTTAAAGCCAGATAGGGACAATATTGAGAATGCAGAGGAACATCTGCAGAGCATGAATTGTCCTCATTTTGTACTTCTCCTCTACTCAGTAATACCCACTCCCCTAGAGTTATCAAAGGTTGGGTTTTATTCAGCTTCCCCACACCTCTGCTGAGCAACATCTGTTCTATGGCTGTTAAATCTTACTCCAAAGTAAGTAAGTATAGGTTTGCTAAACAACACGGTGGAGTTAAATCCCAATATATTCTTATTTCTTCAAGAAAATTTTTAAATCAATAGAGAGCAATAAACTACATCAGCAAAGATCTGTAATGTTGTCTATATGATCCTCGAATTTGGAGGGATCCAGATTGAGGAGTTAAGCAGGCAAAAATGGGAAATTTTAAGAAAAAACTTTCAAGGATAGGAGCGCCAACACATGACCCAGGCAGAGGTAGGATGGACATTACAGGCTTGGCATCTTCCAGGATATTGAGCTGAATCTGAGGAACACACCAATTCCTACAAGAATGAAAATGGGGTAATGGAGTAGGCTCTGAAACTGAATTTTCATGGGGCATTCGATGATGAAGCAGAACCTAGGCTCCAGGAAAGCTAGAACTCACTTCAGAGGAGCTCTCTGCTATTGCTCTCCTATCCCTCCCACCACCCCGCCCCCACACACATACACACACCCCTGCAGCTTTCTTCCCTTAAAAACTTACTACTGGGGAAGACAAACCAGTAAGGTAGATAAGACAACAAGAATTCCTACATATTTTATTCCAGTAAACATAAGGCCCAGGCTAAGATCAAAAAATAAGAATAGGAAATAATAATATTTGATTCTTCCAAAGTTGCAAAGAGAAGCTTTCTAAGAATGCATACTTATGTGCAGTTTTCCTCCTGAGTTGTTTCTAATATGCCACTTGAGGTATACTTGACATGCAATAAGTTGTACAGATATAAAGTGTACAATTTCATGAGTGTCTCACCATGTGATACTCATCACATGTGAAACCATCACTATAATCAGGTAACAAACATATATAGTACCCCCAAAACTTTCCTTTATGTTCCTGTGTTATTCCTCCAACTTACCACTGCCCATTCTTTATCAAACCCCCAGTTACCAGGCAACCATGGATCTGCTTTCAGTCACTATAGATTACTTTCCATATTCTAGAATGGTATATAAATGGAATCATACATCATTGTGTTTTCTCTGTGCCCACAGATGCCTGTTTCTTCCTCTTTTTATAAAGACACCAGTCCTATTGTACTACGGCCTCACTGTATGGCCTAATTTAACCTTAACTACCTACTTAAAAGCCTTATATCCAAATACAGTCACATTGAGAGTGTGGGCTTCAACACATGGATTTTGGAGACAAACAAGTCAGTCCATAACAGTCTTTCTGAAGCAGATTGGTTATTAGCATTTTCAGTAAGGACGTATGTTTAGTAAACAGCCCTCATCTTTTTTTAAGGGGAGAGGGGAATGTTATTATTTAATTCAAACCCCAGAACAAATTTTTAGCAAAGAATTCAGGATTACGGTTACATTCCTTAGCCCTTGAAAAAATGAATCAACTGTCTTCTGGCATACAGTTCTTTGACACAATTTTTCATGTTATTCAAACTGGGATTATCTTCCCCTTTTGGAGATTACCTCTCACTACCTTGCAGCTGCTTTCTGAATTCCCATTTGCCTCTAAGGTTGCAATTTTATTTCTCTCTCTCTCTCTCTCTCTCTCTCTCTGTGTGTGTGTGTGCGTGCGTGTGTATGAATATGTATATTGTATTTTATTAAATCTAGAATGCATAGACTAGAAGACATGTCATTGTTTTATGTACCACCATTAACAAGTATCATTATTTTAATTGGTCAGAGGAGAGGGAAAATATGATCATCTTAATAAACAGCAAAAAATTTGATAGTTTTTAACAGAGATTTTATTACAATACTATACACAGGAAGATAGGAAACAAATATTCTCCCTGAAGAATATTTTTAAAAGAATTTATCTCAAAGCTAGAGTCAGTATTACGTTTATTGTTAAAACACTAGAAAACACTCCATTTGCAAAGACAGCAGTTACGATCAGGATTACTTAACACTTTGAATGTTCAAACCATTTCATTATACAACTGATACCAAAAAAGAATTACAAGTAGTAAAATGGAGAAGTAAAATAATCATTATAAGTCACTATATGCAGATGATATAATTTTCTATCTGCAAAGCCAAGAGAATGAGCAAAGCAAATGTGGTAGTTTAGTAAGGCAGCTGGCTTCTAATTCAACAAACGAAGCAAATTACTTTTTTGCATACACGCTAATCAGGTACTAAATATTATACAAAAATTAAAAACACTTAATATAGGTACTAAAATTCCATATTCTTTTATGTACTTTATCTACCAGATTGAGATGTAAGTTTAAGAAGCCTATTTTTAGTAACTGTGTCACATACATACATACACACATGTATTTTATACATTATAGGTTTTCTCATTTAAAAATCTCAAAAAAGGTGAATGATTGATACAAAATCTATATTATCTGTTTGTATAAGAACTCTTTATAGTATTCGCATTCTTCTCTGTATGGTAATATACATACTTTCATATATCCTAATTTGTGATATGTTTGGATGGTGTTGATTCCAAGCATATCTTTGTAAAATTCACAAAGTTATACACAATGAAAGAATCTTAAGGAAGTATAAATTTATATAACATACAAGAATTTCTTAGGAGCTATTTTTTTTCTAATATATTCAAGATGATTCTCTAAATTCTTTGTGACCTGAGGGCTCCCCATCTTTGAACATGTACCTCAGCCACAGTAGCACTGACAGAGAGGCCTGTCTCAGCTTCTTGTTTCCAAGAATCAGAACACATGAGTGACATGAAGGATAAGCCATTCCCATCACCTGGGAAAGAATAATTAGATTTTCCTCCAACCTTTCAGAGGTCCAAACTGATATGAAAAAAGACAGAGAGAAAATGGCATAGAGTAGGAAGAAAGTGATCACACTTTTAACTCCTCTGTGGGCTTTGGTGCTGGCGTCTCCGGATATTTTGACAGTGTGCTGCATCTTCTTGCGATGTTTCCACATGGAGAAGATGAGGAGAAGAAACATTGCCAGGGACAAAGTAAAGGGTATGAAAATGAACACAGTGCTGGTTAATACAATAAGACTGGAAAATCGTGTAAAGTTACTTGAATCAGAACTGCAAGTCTTGTTTCTTCTGTATCCATTGATACTGGCATTTATATGGATGTTTATCAGTGCAATATTTAAAAACAAGAAGACCGAAGTCACAAGAAGCAGCACCAAAACCACCTTTTTAACCCTCCACTTTAGGTAGAGAAAAATAGAGTTAGAAAAATTGGCTATCTTGAGAAAATAAAAAGTACCGAGGCCTGTAGCTAACCAGACACTAAAATGATTGATCACTGTCCAGATATTAGTAAGCATTCTGAACATTTTTTCAGTGGCAAATAAAGCTGGGAAAAACACAGACACACACCAGCTTCCGAATATTAACCAAACCAGGCTAATTCGAGAGATTGCCAAAGCAGTGAGGATCCGATCAACCGAAGAGATCTTTCTTCCCTTGACCCAGTCAATACAGTTCACCAGTGCTATGAAACTATTTCCTAAATTTCCAATTATAAATTCCACAATTAAAACGAATGTAAATATGCTCTTTATGACACCACCCATTGCCTGTAAGAGCATGCCCCAATGTCTAATATCACTGCTGAAGACTTCTTAATGCATTCATCTAAAATGCTATGTATATCTGATTCTTGAAAATTCAATAATATATTCCCTTTAAAAAGGGAATGTTAAACCAGCAACCATCCAGATTTGCTAATGGCTGGGTTTAAAGCTCTCTTCATAAAAATCTCTGTATTTCCCCAGACAGCTCAGCTGAGCTTCATCCAGATGCTGTGTGCCTTATACACAGTAGGCTGAAGTCTTTTGTAGCTGGTGAGAAAGGAAACACTGAATTCTCATTTGTAAACATGCAAATAAGGACATATTTATTTTCATTGGTTTGTGTGTTTTTTTTTTTTTTTTTTGTCTTATCTACATACTTCAGTCTGTCAAATTGAGTTCTGGGGAAGTATCATTACAAAAATTGGTATATGAAACTTTGTAAGCACTGAGAATTTTTACATACTTCCGTGTTTGGGTGGAGAAAAATGGGGAGATGATGGTGAAAGTTTACAGAACCTCAGTTAGACAAGAGGAATAAGTTTTGTTCTGCTTTTCTGAGATCTATTGAACAGCATTGTGAATATGGTTAATAATAGTGTATTGTACATTACAAAATTGCTGAAAAAGTAACTTTCAAATATTCTCACCATAAAAAAATATTTGTTACCTGTTATCTGTTATATTTATTATCATTTGAATACGTTAATTAGTTTCATTTAATTATTCCACATAGTAGTCATAAATCATAACAACACCTGATACCTCATAAATGTATGCAAGTAAAATATGTCAATTTACAATAAAAATAAAGAAAATAAAGAAAAATCAGATGGTTTTTTAAAGTTAAGTCTGTAAAGGGACTTATTCATAGTTATCCAAAGCTCCTCCTACAAAGTAGCAGAGTTTTCTAATAATCTTGTGGAAGACATTATTCCTAGAATGCTGGGTACCAAGAATAATACTTTTCTATTATTTTACTTTTTACAAGTACATGCCCAGCAAACATGCGCGCACACACACAAACACACAAACGCATACATTTATTTGGGATCTAAATCTTTTTCTCTTTTCACTTAAATAATTCAGGCTTTTTACTTTCAGCATTTATTATGCATCTAGTTCATGTTTAGTACTGTGATAGTTTTAAACACATTTAAAAAGACTTGCAAGTTTATATTAAATAGTAATACATGTAAATATTCCGGAGACTTTGGAAATATTTTCTCTGTACATGTGAGAAGAGGTAGAAATCTATCTATTGTCTCATAAAGCAGTCATTGTGTTTGAATGAGTTCATCCACATGGCAAGAATTCTTATTCTGTGCCTCTCCCCTGCCCAGTAGGGCATATTGCTTCATCAGCACCAAATACCTTCACATTTTTTTCACATATACTCACTCTCCCAGCAACATCTACTCCATGATCCTCACTACAGGGACCAATGTAGATAAAGGATGACATACTGTCTAGCCAAGACGGGGAAATCAGCAGCATGATACAGTCATTCTTCTTCAATAGCTAAAAAAGTAAGTAAAGTGAGCAAAGCACCAATGAAACAAATTCAGCAACAGCTACCAAACAAAGTAGAAAAATATGCCTCATAAACGTCAAAGATGGCAGAGAAAGATGTAAGGTGTTCCACTATGAAGAACTGATCCCTCACCTTCAGTCCCCTGAAGCAAAGCTAAGCAAAAATAAAATAAAATAAAACCAAAATATCTTGGAAATTACCGTATATTTAGTCAAGAGAGCTATTGAAAAGGCAAACTCAGCTAGCATGGACAAATATTAAGGAAAAATCCCAAGGCTAGAAGTACAAACGTACTATCCACATAGAGACAAGAAGGTTACCCTGGCCTCGCTATATCCAGGCAATAAAGATGAGGTTGGGAAAGAAGACAAAGAGAAAGACAAACTACCATGGTGGGTGGGGGGTTGTGTGGTGGGTTCTGTTGAGACTTCATGGATACTTTGAAAAGAGAGCAGAGCTCACGTCTCCAGTGAGAGCTACAATAACCCCAGAGGGTCTCGCCCAAAGGACCTCAGCACTTGCATCATTCATGCTGGGTTGAAAACACTAGGTTTTCATTGGAACAACAGCTCTTAGGGAAAGGCAATCTTTTTCAGAAAAAGAGCAGCAAAAATAATAATTCCCACACACTACATCCAGAAATTAGAATAAAAACTCAGTTCCTCAGAGAAGAGCAGTGTCTTAATCCATTTCAGTGTCAAAGTTACATTTAGGTGTATACAGAACAGATTAGTGTGTTTCATTTTAACTTTTTTATGCATCAAAATTTATGTACTAACTGTATCAAATGTTTGAATTTATTTATTATTAAAATTTATTATTTATTTATTATTAAAATTTATTATTTATTATTAAAATTTATTTGAATATTTCTCCCTTCACTTCTTGTATCATATTTTTGGATTTCCTTGCATTGGGCTTCACTTTTCTCTGGTGCCTTTCTGATTAGCTTAATAACTAACCTCCTGAATTTTTTTTCAGGTAAATCAGGGATTTCTTCTTGGTTTGGATCCATTGCTGGTGAGCTAGTGTGATGTTTGGGGAGTGTTAAAGAGCCTTGTTTTGTCATATTACCAGAGTTGGTTTTCTGGCTCCTCCTCATTTGGGTAGGCTCTATCAGAGAAAAGATCTAGGGCTGAAGGCTGTTGTTTAGACTTTTTTGTTCCAGAGGGTGTTTCTTTGATGTAGTATTCTCCCTTTTTTCCTATGGATGTGGCTTCCTGACAGCTGAGCTGTAGTAATTGTTATCTCTCTTCTGGATCTAGTCACCAAGAAAGTCCACCAGGCTCCAGGCTGATATTGGGGTTGTCTGCACAGAGTCCTGTGATGTAAACCATCTGTTGGTCTCTCAACTGTGGATACCAGCACCTGTTCTGGTGGAGGTGGCAGGGGGGTGAAATGGACTCTGTGAGGGTTCTTAGCTTTGGGAGTTTAATGCTCTATTTTTGTGTGGTTGGCCTCCTACCAGGAGGTAGTTCTTTCTAGAGAGCATCAGCTGTGATAGTATGAAGAGGCACCGGCAGTGGGTAAGTCACTAGAACTCTCAAGAGTTTATGCCCTTTGTGCTCAGAATACCAGGGTGGGTAGGGAAGTACCATCAGGTGGGGCAGAGCTAAGCATGTCTGAGCTCAGACTCACTCTCTCCTGCTGTGGCTGCTAGGGGGGATGGGGCTGAGGTTTCCAGGTTAATGGAGTTATGCACCTAGAAGGAAGCTGCCTCTGCTGAGTCATGCAGGTTGTCGTGGAAGTGAGAGAACGCTGGCAGTCACAGGCCTGACCCAGCTCCCATGCAATCCAAAGGGCTGGTCTCACTCCCACCATGCCTCCCCAATGGCACCCTGTCTGTTTCCAGACAGTCGGCAAGCAGGGCTGAGAACTTGCCACAGGCTACCCACCTCCTAGCTGTGAAAGAAAGTAGGACTTTAGTTCTTCCCCTGCCTATTTAGTCTGCACAATGGATTTGAACTCTTCCCTCAGTTCTGGCCAGGAGGCTTCTTGATGACTTCAAATTGTTCCAAAATTCAGCTGGTGATTTCCTTCTCTCTGTGGCATTTCCCTCTTGTCACCCTCCCAAAGGATCTTTGTGATGCCACACAGGAATAGCCTGCTTGAGGACCCAGCGAGCTCACAGGGCCTTTTCTACTGCTCCCTCTATTCCTGTATTTTGCTCAGCTCTCTAAATTAACTCAGCTCCAGGTAAGGTTGTAATCTTTTCCCATAAAATAGACCTTCAGTTTTCCCAGGGGAGGTTGTGTTTGGGGGCAGAGGATCTCCCTTTCCCACTTCTGCAATTTGGGCCTTCACAGTATTTGGGGTGTCTCCCAGGTTCTGCAGGAGCAGCCCACTTTCTTCAGAAAACCTGTGGGTCCTCTCGCATTTCCTGATTTTTTTCTGCAGTCTTTCTGGAGCTAAAATTCATGATGCAAGCCTTCACAAGCTCCTCTGTCTTTCCAAGTCAGAACTGCAATTTAGTCCTGCCTCCCATCCACCATGATGGAGCTGATTGTTTTTCACATTTTAGTAATAGCCATTCTGACTGGTGTGAGATGGTACCTCATTGTGGTTTTGATTTGGATTTCTCTAATGATCAGTGATGTTAAGTTTTTATTCACATGCTTCTTGGTCACATGTACGTCTTCTTTTGAGAAGTGTCTGTTCAGGTCTTTTGCCCACTTTTTAATGTGGTTGTTTTTCTCTTGTAAATTCAAGTTCCTTATAGATGTTGGATATAAGGCCTTTGTCAGATGCATTGTTTGCAAATATTTTCTTTCATTCTGTAGGTTGTCGATTTACTCTGTTGATATTTTCTTTTCTTGTGCAGGGGCTCTTAAGTTTAATAGGATCCCATTTGTCAATTTTTGTTTTTGTTTGATTGCTTTTGATGTCTTTGCCATGAAATCTTTGCTCATTCCTAGGTCCAGGATGGTATTGCCTAGGTTGTCTTCCAGGGCTTTTACAGGTTTCTTTTTACATTTAGGTCTTTAATCCATTTTGACTTGATTTTTTTATATGGTACAGGGAAGAATTTCAGATTTGATCTTCTGCAGATAGCTAGCCAGTTATCCCAGTGCTATTTATTAAATACGAAGTCTTGTTCCCATAGCTTGTTTTTGTCAGTTTTGTCAAAGATTAGATAGTCATAAATGTGTGGCCTTATTTCTGGGATCTCTATTCTGTTCCATTGGTGTATGTACCTGTTTTTATGCCAGTACCATGCTATATTGGTCACTGTAGCTCTGTAACATAGTTTGAAGTTGGGTAATGTGATTCCTCTAGCTTTGTTAGCTCTGTTGTTTTCACTTAGTATTACTTTAACTATTAGGGCTCTTTTTTGGTTCCATATAAATTGTAAAATAAATTTTTCCAGTTCTGTGAAGAATCTCATTGGTAGTTTGATAGGAATAACATTGAATCTGTACATTCCTTTGGGCAGTACAGCCATTTTAATAATTGATTCTTTGTATCCATGAACATGGGATGTTTTCCCATTTGTTTGTGTCTTCTCTGATCTTTTTGGGAAGTTTTTTTATAATTCTTATTGTGTAAATTTTTCACTTCCCTCGTTTGCTGTATTCCTAGGTATTTTTTGTGTGTGTGGCAATTGTGAATGGGATTGCCTTCCTGATTTGATTGTTGTTGGTTTATAGGAATACAAGTGATTTTTGTACATTGATTTTGTATCCTGCAACTTTTCTGAAGTTGTTTATCAGATGAAGGAGCTTTTGAGCCAAGACTATGGGGTTTTGTAGATAGAGAATATGTCAACTGCAAACAGTTTGACATACTCTATGGTTTTTTGGGCGTCCTTTATTTCTTTCTCTTACCTGATTGCTCTGGCCAGGACTTCCAATACTATGTTGAAAAGAAATGGTGACAGAGGGAATCGTTTCCTGTTGCTGGTTTTCAAGAGGAATGCTTCCAGCTTTTGCCCATTCAGTATGATGTTGGGTGTGGGTTTATCATAGATGGCTCTTATTATTTTTAGTATGTTCCTTCAATATCTAATTTTTTGAAATAGTTTAACATGAAGGGATGTTGAATTTTTATCAAAAGCCTTTTCTGCATTTATTGAGACAGTCATGTGGTTTTTGTCTTTAGTTCTGTTTATGTGATGAATCATATTTATTGATTTTTGTATGTTGAACTAACTTTGCATGCCAGGATGAGGCCTATTTGATCATGGTGGATTAGCTTTTTGATGGGCTTGTGGATTCAGTTTGCAAAGGTTTTGTTGAGGATTTTTGCATCGATGTCCATCAAGGATTTTGGTCTGTAATTTTCTGTTGCTGTTGTGTCTCTGCCAGGTTTTGGTATCAAGATGATGCTGGCCTCATACAATGAATTAAAGAGAAGTCCTCCTAAACTTTTTGGATTAGTTTCTGTAAAAATGGTAACAGCTCTTCTTTGTACACCTGGTAGAATTTGGCTGTGAATCCAGCAGGTCTTGGGCTTTTTTGGGTTCATAGGCTATTTATTACTGATTCAATTTTGGAGTTCATTATTGGTCTGTGCAGGGAACAAATTTCTTCCTGGTTCAGTCTTGGGAGTATCGGGTGAAATTCACCCCCGATATTTCACTTAGGTTCTTTTCTATTTTCCCTAAGTGTCAGCCAGTCTGAGAAATAAAAAGACAGAGTACAAAAGAGAGAAATTTTAAAGCTGGTGTCTGGGGGAGACATCACATGTTGGCAGGTTCAGTGATGCCCCCTAAGCCATAAAACCAGCAAGTTCTTATTAGTGATTTTCAAAAGGGGAGGGAGTGTACAAATAGGGTGTGGGTCACAGAGATCACATGCTTCACTAGGTAATAAAATATCAAAAGGCAAATGGAGGCAGGGCGAGATCACAGGACCACAAGACCGGGGCAAAATTAAAATTGCTAATGAAGTTTCGGGCATGAATTGTCATGGATAACATCTTATCAGGAGACAGGGTTTGAGAGCAGACAACCGGTTTGACCAAAATTTATTAGGCAGGAATTTCCTCATCCTAATAAGCCTGGGAGTGCTACGGGAGACCAGAGCTTATTTCATCCCTCAGCTAAGACTGTAAAAGACAGCCGTCCCCAAAGCGGCCATTTCAGAGGCCTCCCCTCAGGGACACATTCTCTTTCTCAGGGATGTTCCTTGCTGAGAAAAAGAATTCAGTGATATTTCTCCATTTGCTTTTGAAAGAAGAGAAATATGGCTCTGTTCCACCTAGCTAACCAGCAGTCAGAGGTTAAGGTTATCTCCCTTTTTCCCTAAACATTGCTGTTATCCTGTTCTTTTTTCAAGGTGCCCAGATTTCATATTGTTCAAACACACAGGCTCTACAATTTGTGCAGTTAATGCAATCATCACAGGGTCCTGAGGCAACATACATCCTCCTCAGCTTATGAAGATGATGGGATTAAGAGATTAACGTAAAGACAGGCATAGGAAATCACAAAGGTATTGATTGGGGAAGTGATAAGTGTCCATGAAATCTTCACAATTTATGTTCAGAGATTGCAGTAAAGACAGGCATAAGAAATTATAAAAGTATTAATTTGGGGAACTAATAAATGTCCATGAAATCTTCACAATTTATGTTCTTCTGCCATGGCTTCAGCTGGTCCCTCCGTTTGGGGTCTCTGACTTCCAGCAGCAGGGAGGGTGTATGTGTCCAGGAATTTATCTATCTCTTCTAGGTTTTCTAGTTTGTCTGCACAGAGGTGTTTACAGTGGTTCTGATGGCTGTTTCCATTTCTGTAGGGTAAGTAATAACATTCCTTTAAATCATTTCTAATTGTGTTTATTTGGATCTTCTCTCTTTTCTTCTTAATTAGTCTACCTAGTGGCCTATTTTATAATTATTTTTAATTCCAACTCCCAAATTCATTGATCTTTTGAATGGTTTTTTGTGTCTTAATTTCCTTCAGTTCAGCTCTGATTTGTGTTATTCCTTATCTTCTGCTAGCTTCGGGGTTGATTTGTTCTTTTTTCTCTAATTCTTTCAATTTTGAATTTAGATTGTTAATTTGAGGCCTTACAAACTTTTTGATGTGGGCATTTAGTGCTATGAATTTCCCTCTTACTACTGCCTTAGTTGTGTCTCAGAGATTCTGGTTTGTTGTATCTTTGTTCTTATTATTTTTATAGAACTTCTTGATTTCAGACTTAAATTTATCTAAAAGTCATCCAGGAGCATGATGTTTAATTTCCATGTAATTGTATGCTTTAATAATTTTCATTGTGTTGACTTTTATTTTTATTGCACTGTGGCCTGAGAGTGTGTTTGGTATGATTTTGGTTATTTTACATTTGTTGAGGATTGTTTTATATCCAATTATGTGGTTGATTATAGAGTATGTGCCATGTGGCTATGAAAAGAATGTATATTCTCTTATTTGGGGATGGACACTTCTGTAAAGGTCTACCAGATCCATTTGGTCCAATGCTAAGTTTAGGTCCTAAATATCTTCATTAATTTTCTGCCTGTATGATCTAATACTGTCAGTGGAGTGTTGATGTCACTCACTATTATTGGGTGGGAGTGTATGTCTATTTGTAGGTCTCTAAGAACTTGCCTCATGAATCCAGACATTCCTGTATTGGGTGCATATCTATTTGGGATTGTTAGGTCTTCTTGTTAAATTGAATACTTTACCATTATGTTATATCCTTGCTTGTCTTTTTTTTAAAAAACTTTCATTTGTTTGAAACTTGTTTTGTCTGAAATTAGGATTGCAACCCCCCTTTTTTCTGTTTTCCATTTGCTTGGTAGATTTTTCTCCATTTATTTATTTTGAGCCTATGAGTGTCATTAAATTTGAGACGGGTCTCTTGAAGACAGAATACCATTGGGTCTTGCTTTTTTATCCTGCTTGCCATTCTGTGCCATTTAATTGTGTCATTTAGCCCATTTACATTCAAGATTAATATTGATATGTGTGGATTTGATCCTGTCATTGTGCTGTTAGCTTGTTATTATGTTGTCTTGTTTGTGTTGTTGCTTTACAGTGACACTGGTCTCTGTGTTTCAGGGTTTTTTTTATTAGCTGGTAGTGGTGTTCTTTTCTATACTAAGTGCCGCTTTCAAGATCTCTTGTAAGGCAGTTCTGGTGATAATAAATTCCCTCAACATTTGCTTACCTGAAAAAAATCTTCCTTCTCCTTCACTTAAAAAGCTTAATTTGGTTGGATATGAAATTCTTGGCTGAAGATTTTTTTCTTTAAGAATGTTGAATATAGGCCT
Source organism: Homo sapiens (assembly GCF_000001405.40). NCBI lineage: Eukaryota > Metazoa > Chordata > Mammalia > Primates > Hominidae > Homo > Homo sapiens. The sequence continues at coordinate 146,663 of NT_187658.1, forward strand.
CCAATCTCTTCTAATTTGTAAGAACTCAGCTGACAGATCTGCTGTTACCGTGATAGAAATCCCTTTGTACGTGACCTGCCCTTTCTCTCTGGCTGCCTTTAACATTCTTTCTTTTATTTCAATCTTGGGAAATCTGATGATTATATATCTTGGAGATGATCTTGTGTAGAATCTTGCATGAGTTCTCTGTATTTCCTGAATATGTCTGTTGGCCTCTCTAGCAAGGTTGGGAAAGAGTTCATGAATGATATTCTGAAATATACTTTCCAAGTTGTTTGCTTTCTGGCTCTCCCTTTCAGGGATTCCAGTGATTTACAGATTTAACCTCTTTTTATAATCCCATACTTCTCAGGGGTTTTGTTCATTTCTTTTTATGCTTTTTCTTTATTTTTGTCTGACTGTATTATTTCAGAAAACCAGTCTTCAAGTTCTGAAACTCTTCCCTCAGACTAGTATATTCTGCTGATAATCCTTGTGATTGCATTGTGAGATTCTTGTATTGCGTTATTCAGCTCTGTCAGACCCATTAAATTCTTTCTAATACTGGTTATTTCATCCTTCAGCTCCTGTATCACATTATTGTGATTCTTATTTTCCTTGGATTGGGTTTTGTCTTCCTCCCAAATCTCAATAATCTTTGTTTCTGCCATATACTGTATTCTGTCATTCTAGCCAGTTCAACCTTGTTAAGAACTCTTGTTGGAAAACTGCTGTAGTCTTTTGGAGGAAATATGATATTCTGGCCATTTGAGTTATTGCATTTGTTCTTTCTCATCTCTGTATGTGGGTGTTTCTTTAACTGCAGTGTATATTAGGCACAGTAAATAGACTTCCTTTCTGGATGTTTTCACCAGGGAGAGCCTTTGTGTAGGGTATTTATTTGAAGCTGACTTTGTGTCTCTGGCTTCAAAGGGGGTTATGTTAGTGAGGCATTTTTGGTGTTGAAGTTTTGGGGTGTAATCCAGCAGGTGACACTTATGCTTATTGGTCAGTTGATAGACTGTTGCTCAATTATATGTTTCCCCTATGTTTCCTCACAGTTGCAGCCATGTTCCCTCTCAGTGTTCTGAAGATGTAGGTTCCTTGTGCCCTTCAGTCCTGGCTACAGTTCAAAACTTGGCATTCCTGAGCTGCCAACTGCAGCCCTGGTGGAATCTCAGTGTTTATATTCCTTTCCCAGTTTAGAGGTAGCACTGAAGAGATCTTAGTAGTGGTTGTGGCCAAGAGTCAACCTCTGGGGGTTCCATCCCAGAGAGATGCAGGTCAGCAAACACTCAGTGCAGTCAGCCCAAGATGGAGGGTTTGTGCATTTGTGGGACCCATGGAAGTCTAACTGGGTTTCTCTCCTTGGGTTGACTGCATCTTGTTGGAGGTATGGATAAGGCACTTAGGATCTTTGCTCCTTCATTAGTCCAAGAGTGGCAAGGGCAGTTCTACTGCAGAGGCCAGTGGCAGAGAGGTTTTCAGTTGCTCCTGGAGGCTTTGTCCAAGATTAGCATTAAGAATTTAAATTTACATTTCTAGATTATACCTTCTTTTAAAAATTAATTTAAAGAAAAGCTTATAATTTTAACTTGTATTTCTTACTACCATAATGCACTATGCTTCTTTGTTAAGAAAAACATGATAATTATAATACCATTGTATCTATGCACATATGTAGTTTTGGCTTAATTTTTTATTATTTTACTTTATTTTCTGATTTTTAAATATTTTTACTATTGTCGAACATAACATAGTTATGAAAAGTAACAAAACTTAAATACACAGTTAGGGAAAAAATTATAAGTTTATCTCCCATGTTTACTACATCTTGGCCAAAAAATAAAATTTGCCAAAAATCCAGACACTCCCCATATATACCTTCTTGTTGATATTGTTTCTCTTTAGTTTTCTTCCTCCCACATATCCCAGTTGTTATGATAATCACTTATATGTTTCGTTTTAGAGTTTTGCCACCAATGTAATAAATTACAATGTATTAAAATATATTTTTGCAAACTTCATATAAATTGAATTATATTGAATATTTTTTCAATATTGATAATTCCTCTCACATCTGTATTAGCTATTTAGCTCAAATTTGTTCATTTTCTTTGTTATATAAATTCTTTGTAAACATGTCACTCTGGTTTGCTTTTTAATTGCTGTATAGTACTCTACCGCATAAGTATGCCATAATTTATTTATCATTTTATCACTGATGGACATTTGGGAGACTTCTCAACTTGAGCTATTAAAACACAGTGATACACACTTTTTTCATATGTATTCCAGTAGGAGTACAAATATTGGGTCTTATGAGGTGATCCTCCATCATAATCAGATTATGTCATACTCAGCCAAAGGAATTCTTTCAATTGATAATCCTAGGAGAAGTGTCTGAAAATTGTCAGTGCCTCATGCCCTTTTCAAAATTAGAAACATCAAAGAATAATTTTTGCACTTTTATATTTATATAAAATATTATTAAACTTAACATTTTACAATTTAAATTCACATTTGAAATGTAACTGTAGTTTAAAAATTACATATTACTCTTTTTTCATTCTACGACTCTGATTTCATATACATTTCTTAAGAATAAATTATATATTTAATATACTTATTTGTATTATGTTGTTAACTTTTCTAATCTTTTTTCTTGAAGTTTCAAATTCTCTTTTGTTATCAGCAAGTAGAGTCATACCAGAGATATTTTCTTCAATCAAACATTATGTCAAATGACTTTGAGAAAATATGATTAGCTATCAGCATATTGTAAGGGAAAATTAGATTGTTTAGATTGTTTAACAACCCTTGAAAGAACTCATTAAAAAAGTGTTAAAATATTAAAATGATTATACATTTAATATAGGCATCATAGGAAAATACAAATTCTATCATTACTAGTTTGGAAAAAAAAAAGATTGGTAGTAAACTTCCCATGTCTGAACAAACACACATTAAAAAAGGGCAAGCCCAGTATCACTGGTCATGATCCCCTTTAAGGTCTTGATCTTAAACTCTCTGCGATCCTGATTTCTGAATGTGCAGTAAAATTCTTGGTTCTTCTAAATTCAATTCTGGGACCAATGTCAAATAGGAAAGCGCTAGGGCATACTAATGGATGAGTTCAATGCTGCCTTTATGGAAAAAATGTAATTTTCAAAACGGCTCAAATTACCTACTATTTAAACAACGTCTCTTCTTGCTATAGGCTTTTTTCATAATAATTTGGAAGTAAAAGCTGATTTCTCATTTGCAAGCATGCAAATGAAGACATATTCTCTTTCACTGTTTTGCAATATTTTCCTCGTGTAGTCATAATTTGTGTTCAGCAACATCACTTGCTATGGAAATTTTTAAACCCAATACATAGATCATATATTGGATGTCTAAATTTCTGAAGGAAGCTTGATCATAACTTGTATCATGACTGCTGTTAATTTATTTTTCTCAATACCAGATACATGTAAACAGAATCTAAATTTTTCCTATCAAAAGCATTCAAGATTTTCTTGGGAAGACATATACACCCATACACATATACATATACCCCACATGAATGGGAATAGTTTTTGTCCTACAGTTTCCAAAATGGAAAATAAATTTTAGGGATGTCACATGCAGGTTGAAATGGCCCTATTTTCCTACTCATAATTTTCAGCCCATTTTCAATATTTATCGAACTGATCTCGCATCCTTAGGCTTTTAAGGAAGTCATTCTCTTAAGTCAATTTGATATACAAATATGAATTATTTAATTAAATATTCAGCATTTTTGTAAATATTCCTTGAGCACTTAAAAAATGTGTTTTCGATTGAAGAATATTGACTTCTCTGTATATGAATATTTGGATATTTTTCTTTCATTTTAACTTATTTTTATTATTTAATGGTTTAAGATTAACAGATGTTAAAATCAGTCTCCAATGTTGGGTTTTATTCATTCTCAGTTTTTACAGTATAATTGTTTCTAAGAAAGGATCTTGGAGTCAGACTGCCAGGAAAGGAAATCCAGTTCTCTGCTTCATATAGGTATGATCCGAGAATCTATTTTACAACAGCCTTAGGATAGCTATCTATTAAATGCAGATGATAATAATACCCTCTTTGGATAGTCTTTATGAAGAGTTAGTACACATTTGTATAACTGATTTCAATATCACCTGTCTGGTTCAGGCACGAAACAAGGATTGCTCGTGTTTTATTTGATCTTGTGTTACTTGATACAGAGAGGTTACCTGTGAAAACTTCCACTTTTGAATAGATGTAATAGGTTCAAGAAAGCAAGATGTCCTTCTGCAACAACTAGCATAAGATAAATAAAGGGGCCAAAATTATGTTTGTATTCATCAAAGAGCTTGCAAGCAATAAGGACCACCTGAAATGAAATCCAGCACAAGGCGAGTCTTTACGTGTGAAGAGCAATTTATAATGCAACCCTCATCACGTCACAGAAAGCTTTTTCTGCAGAAAATGTAAAACTACTCCAAAAATATGCCTGGAAATGCCAAGTGATTAGGCCAATAAAATAATTTTTTTTTAAATACAAAGTTGGAGGATTAGTTTCTCATTTCAAAGTTTACTGCAAGTTTACTGGACTAAATCAAGACACTGTGGTAATTGCACTATGAGAGACAAAAAGAACAATGAAACACAATTGACTGTCCAGAAATTAGTAATGACATTCATGGTCAGCTGATTTTTAAAATCATACAATTGCAATTCAATAGGAATTAATCATTTTTCTCAACAAATGATTCTGGGAAAATTAAATATCCACATGCATAAAGATGAATTTAGGCTACTGCCAATGCCCGCATGGAAGCTGGCAGCCTTGGGCCAGCCTGCACCCCATCCCGGTCCAAGAGCCTATACCCTGCCACACTGCTGCTGCTGGCATGTGTTAACAAGCTTGCGTTACACTGTCACTATTCAATGAAGAGCTTTGGCTGGTACCATCCTTCAGAGTGTTGTGGCCAGCAATTCAGGAACACAATGTCCCTTCCAGCACAGCAGATTCCCAATGTTGAGGTGCCAGAGAACAAAGTCCGGTGTCCAAAACTAGACCCCAGACTTAGAGTTAGAAATCTTTTCCCCCCTAAAATCTACCAGAAACAAACTCATTTGATGGAATCCACAGTGAAACCCCAAAGTGTGTCAAAGAAGATAAAAACAGAAAAAAAAAAATCCAAAGAATGGCAACTTCGAAGACTGAAGAATATCAGCCCACAGAGATGAGAAAGAATCAGCACAATAACTGTGGCAACTCAAAAAGCCAGAGTATCTTCTTACCTCCAAATGACCACGCTAGTTCCCTCCCATGCTGAAAAGGCAGAAATATGATTCAGACCATGGATAGGAACAAAGATCAATGAAATTCAGGAGAAAGTCAAAACACAATCCAAAGATTCTGAGGAACGCCATAAAATGATACAGAAGACACAAACAAAATGGTCATTTTAAGAAAAAATCCAACTGATCTGATAGAGCTGAAAACATCACTTCACGAATTTTGGAATACTAATGCAAGTGTTAACAACAGAATCAACAAAGCTGGGGAAAGAATCTCAGAGCTCAAGAGTAGTCCTCTGAAATTACTCAGTCAGGCAAAAATAAAGAAAAATAATGAAGAAGAATGCACAAAACCTCCAAGAAATATAATATTTTGTTAACAGACTAAATATATGACTCATTGGCATCCATGAAATACAGGAATAGAAGGCAAACAACTTGGAAAACCTATTTCAGGATATAGTCCATAAAAATTTCCTCAACCTTGTTAGAGAGGCCAGCATTCAAATTCAGGAAATGCAGAGAACCCCTACGAAATACTACACAAGAAGAATATACCCAAGACACATAGTCATCAGATTCTCCAAGGCGAAAATGAAAGAAAAAGTGCCATAGGCATCTAGAGAGAAAGGGCAGGTCACCTACAAAGGGAACAGCATTGAGCTAACAGTGGACCTGTTAGCAGAAACTCTACAACCAGGAAGAGATGGGGGCTCATATTCAGAAATTTTTTGAAAAAGAATGTCCGACCAAGAATTTCATATCCAGCCAAACTAAACTTCATAAGTGAAGGAGAAATAGGATCTTTTTCAGACAAACAAATGCTAAGGGATTTGATTACCACCAGACCCACCTCACAAGAGGTCCTGAATGGATTGCTAATCATAGAAAAGAAAGATCATTATCAGCCATAACAAAATCACACTTAAGGCCATAGACCAGTATACTATAAAGTAACCACAGAAACCAGTCTGCATGATAAGCAGCTAACAACATAATGAAAGGATCAAATTCCCACATATCAATACTAACCTCGAATGTAAACAGGTTAAACACCCCAACTAAAAGGCACATAGAGGCAATTTGGATAAAGAAGCAAGACGCAATGGTATAGTGTCTTCAAGAGACTCACTTACATGCAGTGATACCCATAAGCTCAAATTTAAAAGATGGAGAAAAATCTACCAAGCAAATGGAAAATAGAAGCAGGGTTGCTATTCTAACTTCTTTTTGTTTGTTTGTTTGTTTTGAGTCAGGGTCTCACTCTGTTGCCCAGGCCATAGTGCAGTGGCGCAATCTCAGCCTACCACAACCTCTACCTCCTGGTCTCAAGAAATCCTCCCAACTCAGCCTTGCAAGTACCTGGGACCACATGTGTGCACCACCATGACTGGCTAATTTTTGTATTTGTTTTTTTCTTGATAGAGACAGGATTTTGCCATGTTGCTCAGGCTGGTCTCAAACTCCTGGGGTCAAGTGATCCACCCACCTCAGCCTCCTGAAGTGCTGGTATTACAAGTCTGAGCCATGGCACCTGACCTTGATAATCTACTTTCATACAAAACTGTCTTTAACCAGCAAAGATCAAGAAGAAACAGAAGGGCATTGCATAATTGAAAAAGGCTCAATTCACCAGGAAGACATTACTATTCTAAATGTATATGCACCTGACAAAAGAACACCCAGATTCAGAAAGCAAGTTCTCAGAGACCTATTAAAAGATTTAGAAAATCACACAATAATAGCAAGAGATTTCAACACCCCACCAACAGCACTAGACAGAACATCAAGGCAGAAAACTAACAAAGTTATTCAGGACCTGAAATAGACACTTAACCAAATGAACCTAATAGACATCCACAAAACAGTTCACCCCAAAACAACAGAATACACATTCTTCTCATCTGCACATGGCATATAATCTAAAATCAGCCACACAACCTAACATAAAACAATTCCTAGCAAATATGAAAAAAAGAAAACCATACCAACCACATTCTTGGACCACAGCACAATAAAAATATAAATAAATACTAAGAAAATACCTTAAAACCATATAATTACATAGAAATTAAACAACCCTCTCCTGAATGACTTTTGGGTACATATTGAAATTAAGGCAGAAATCAAGAAATTTTTTGAACATAATGAGAACAAAGATACAACATACCAGAATCTCTGGGATATGGATAAGGCAGTGTTAAGAGGAAAGTTCGTAGCAATAAACACTCACATCAAAAAGTTAGAATGATCTCAAATTAATAACATAACTTCACAAGAGAAACTAAACAAACAAGAGCAAACCAATGCCAAAGCTAGCAAAAGACAATAAATAACCAAAATCAGAGCTGAACTGAAGGAAATTGTGATTAAAAAAAACATACAAAAGGTCAGTGAATCCAGGATTTGATGTTTTTAAAAAATTAATATGATAGACCCCTAACCAGACTAATAAAGAAAAAAAAGAGAGAAGATCCAAATAAACCCAATCAAAAATGACCAAGTGGATATTACCACTGACCCCACTGAAATACAAACAATCCTCCCAAACTACTGTCAACACCTCTATGCCCACAAGCTAGAAAACCTAGAAGAAATGGATAAACTGCTGGATATGTACAACCTTTCAAGACTGAATCAGTAAGAAATTGAATCCCTGAGCAAACCAATAACAAGTTCCAAATTGAAAGAGTAATAAAAAGCCTACCAGACAAACAAACAAAAAAAGCCTAGGACCTGATAGATTCTCAGCAGAATTCCACCATGTGTATAAAGAACTGGTACTATTCACACTAAACCTACTCTAAAAAACTGAGGAAAAGAAACTCCACGCTAACTCATTCTACAAGGCTAATATCACCCTGATACCAAAACCAGGCAGAGACACAACAATAAAAGAAAACAACCTCAATAAACATAGATTTAAAAAAAACACTCCACAAAATGCCAGCAAGTTGAATCCAGCAGCACATCAAAAAGCTAATCCACCATAATCAAGCAGGCTTTATCACTGGGATACAAGTTTGGTTAAACACATGTAAATCAATATATGTGATTCATCACATAAGTGAAACTAACAAAAACCACATTACTATCTCAATAGATGCAGAAAAGGCTTTCAATAAAATTCAATGTCTCTTCATATTAAAAACTCTCAACAAACTAGACATTGAAGATATATACTTCACAATAATAAGAGCCACCCATGACAAACCCACAGCCAATATCATACTAAATGGGCAAAACTGGAAGCATTACCCCTTGAAAACAGGAACAAGACAAGGGTGTCCTCTCTCACCACTCTTATTCAACAGTACTGGAAGTCCTGGTCAAAGCAATCAGGAAGAGAAATAAATAAAAGGCATCCCAATAGAAGAGAAGAAGTCAAATTATCCCTGTTCGCAGATAATGTGACTTTATACCTAGAAATCCCCACAGTTTCTGGCCAAAATCTCCTTGGTCTGATAAACAAACTCAGCAAATTCCCAGGATACAAAATCAATGTACAAAAATTAGTAGCATTCCTATAGCAACAAAATTCAAGCAAAGACAAATCAAGAAGGCAATCCCTTTCACAATAGTCCCAAAAAATAAAATACATAGGAATACAGCTGACCAGGGAGGTGAAATATCTCTACAAAGAGTATTACAAGAGACTGTTCAATTAAATCCAATAAGACATGGACAAACGGGAAAACGTTCCAGGTGCATGGATGGGAAGAATCAATATTGTTTAAATGCCCATACTGCCCAAACCAATTTATAGATTCAATGCTATTCCTGTCAAATTATCATTGATATTCTTCACAAAATTAGAAACAAACTATTTTAAAATTCACTGGGAATGAAAAAAAAAAAGCCCAAATAGCCAAGGCAATACCAAACAAAAAGAACAAAGCAGGAAGTATAACATTACCTGACTGAACCATACTACAAGGATACAGAGACTAAAACAGCATGGTAGTGGTACAAAAACAGGCACGTAGACCAAGGGAACAGAATAGAGACCCGAGAAATAATGCCACCCACCTACAACCATCTAATCTTCAACAAAGTTAACAAAAACAAGCCATGAGGAGAGACTCCCTGCTCTATAAATGGTGCTGGGATAACTGGATAGCCATGTGCAGAAGATGGAAACTGGACACCTTTCTTATACATACACAAAACTCAATGCAAGCTGGGTTAAATAATAAAATGTAAAACCTAAAACTATTTTTTTAAAAAACGGAAAAATAACCTAGTAAACACCATTCCTGCATAGGACCTGGCAAAGATTTCATGGCAAAGACACCAAAATCAATTGCAACAGAAACAAAAATTGAAAAGTGGAACCTCATTAAACTGAAGAGCTTCTGCACAAGAAAAGAAACTATCAACAGAGTAAACAGACAACCTGCAGAATGGGAGAAAATATTTCGTAAACTATGCAAATGACAAAGGCGTAATATCCGGAACATATAAGGAATTTACATTTACAAGCAAAAAACAAATACCACCATTAAAAATTTGATAAAGGACATGAACAATTTTCAAGTGAAGACATACACTCAGCCAACAAACATATGAAAAAATGCTCAATATAACTAATCATTAAAGAAATGTGATTCAAAACCACAATGAGATACTATCTCATACCAGTCAGAATAGCTATTACTAAAACCCCCAAAAAACAACAGATTCTGGCAAGATTGTGGTGAAAGGGAATGCTTTCACACTGCTGGTGGGGAGGTAAATTAGTCCAGCCATTGTGGAAATCAGCATGGCAATTTTCCAAAGAACTTAACACAGAATTACCATTCAAACCAGCAATTCCATTATTGGATATATATCCAGAGAAATATAAATTGTTCTACCATAAAGACACATGCATGAAAATATTCATGACAGAACTATTCATAATAGCAAAGACATGGAATAAACCTAACTGCCCATAAATAGTAGACTGGATAAAGAAAATATGGTACATACACACCATGGAATACTATGCAGTCATTAGAAAAAAACAAGATGATGTAGCAATATGGGTGGAGCTGGAGGCCATTATCCTAAGCCAATAAACATGGAAACAGAAAACAAATACCACATGTTCTCACTTATAAGTGGGTGCTAAACATTGAGTACAGATGGACACAAAGAAGGGAACGACAGACACCACGGTCTATGTGAACAGAGAGAAGGAGGAGAGTGAAGATAAAAGAGATACCTATCAGGTACTCTGCTTCCCACCCGAGTGACAAAATAATCTGTACACAAAGTGCCTGAGACATGCAATTTAGTTACATAACAAACCTGCACATGTACCCCAGAATCTAAAATAAAAGCTAAAAAAAGAAAAAAAAACTGCAAAGTGAAATGAGATTTATCTTTAAATAAGGTAGTATTGGAGGCCTCAATGATTCAATGATATCTGAGGAGTGATAACGTTCAGTGTTGATATCTGAGAAAGAGCAATCCAAGAAGAAGGGACACAAGTATGAAGTCCCTGAGGCAATGCTTGGCATATTCAAGAAGTGACACAAAGGCCAGTGTTGTTAGCATGGGATGAGCCAGGTGTTTTAGGGCACACAGGCAGACAAAATCAGATCATTCAAATGATTATAAGACTTCGTAAGGATTTGGCCTTTACTCTGAATTAGATGAAAGCCACTGAAAAATCTGGAGGAGAAGAATGGCATGATCAAATTTGCGTTTTTACAGGTTCTCTCTGGCTGCCACCTTGAGAATACATCAGGATAAAAGGATGTGCAGAACTAGAAAGAATAATTAGAAACTCATGGCAAATATCCTGGCAAGATATGCAGCAGTTTAGACTAGTATGGCAGAGTGATGACAAGGGATTGGATTCTGTAGGTTTTTGAGGGTAGAGTCAACAAAATTTGCTGATGCCTTAAAGATAGGTTCTGAAAGAGAGAAAATATTGACTCCATTTTTTTTTAGTCTAAGCATCTGAAAGTCTGAAGTGGTCATTAGCAGAAGAGGGAAAGACTGTAGAAGAAACAAATCTGACAATTGGGGGAAGAGCAGTATTTTGATTTGGACATGTTAGTTCAAGTTCCTGTTAGGCATCCAAATGAAGATGTCAAATAGTCTATTAGAGAAAGGATTCGGAGACCAGCGTTGAGATCTCAGCTGAAAGATTAAATGTTGGCATCATCAGCACACAGAAAATAAGTAAGGCCATGAGTAGATGAACTTACCTAAGAAGTGGGAGTTAAAAGAGAAGGAAAAAAACGTAAATTTAGACCCTTATTTTATACTGTACACAAAAATTAACTCATAAGTAATTGATCATAGAGAAAAAAACTTAAGAAATAAGATACTAACAGATACTGAGACATTGTACAAAACGCAAGAAATCAAAAATGGGTTAGTAAACCATAATTCTATCTATGTATTTCTTCACTTATATCATTATCTAATTATATATAGATCATCATATAATTAAAATTCCCCACATATCAATCTGCCAATATCTGCAATGCTATATTAAAATGATATATATGAATATATAGATGAATAATCAGCCTTATTCCTCTCTATTGAACCATTTGGCTACATTATCAGTAAGGAGACTGCATGAGATCACCAACAAAACAAGTCTGATTGATTAAAGATTGAAGAATTGAGACCTTCGGCAGTGTGACATTTTCAGTTTAGAGGCAAGAGAAAGAACTAGCAAAGGAGATTGAGAAGAGGTGCCCAGTGAACAACAATAAAATCAGAAGAGGGCAGCATCCCCCCAGTAAACCATGTCCAATGTTGCTAATAGAGCATGCAACATGAAGACTAACCATTGGCAACACGCACTCACTGGTGATCTTAACAAATGTCAGATTTAATGAAGTGGTGACAGCAACAGCCTCATTGGATTGGGCTGATAGGCCAATAGTTGAAGAGGCTTCATACTTTGCTAAATAACTATAAATCAAGAGGAAAACAGAGTTGAAAAAGCTGAGTCCTGAGGTCAGGCACTGATATGACAAATCAAAGACCCTCAGCCAGTTCTCAGGACTGAGCCAATTCACAGAAGCAGAGATAAACGACTGAAAGGAAGCTTAAGTCCTCTTGATAATGAACACTGGGGGTGGTAGTACATTTTATATCCCTATTCAGTTAACCTATCTGGCCTCTGCCAAAACCAGATGGATTATCAGATGAATGCACATTAGCATAAACTTAAATCGCACTTGCAGATGCTCTCTAGGATGTGGTACCTTCACTGAGCAGAACGTGGTTTCTGGTACTTTGTATGTGGCTTTTGATTTGGCGAATGTTTTTAAATCTACACCCTTTGTGAGAGAAAATCAAAACAATTTGTTTGTTGGGGTAAGAACAAAAGCACTGCTTCACTGTTTTATGTCAGAGCTGTGTCACTTCTGTTTTCAGTTTAATTGGCATTTTGCAAAACATCATGCTAACTCAATATATTAATAATATTACTTTAATTGGTATTCATAAGCAGGAAGTGGCAAGTTCCTTAAATATAGTAAAATAGTATTACTTTGAACAGAAGTAAAATATCAGAAGAAGAGAGACATAAACCTCAGCAGATTCAGGAACTTATAACATAGATGGTGTTTTTACAGGTCCATGCTCCTGGTCCTTGTGTCAAAACATCCTTTTTAAAGTAAACGGCATGTTTCCTGATACATAATTCTTCTCACTAAAAAAGAGGCACAGTGTTTTTTGGGCCTATTGGGATTTTGGAGTCAACATATTCCTCATTTGAGGATATTGCTCTGACTCACTAATGGAGTTTCCAAAGGCCATTGGTCTCAAGTGGAAACCAGAACAAAAAAGGGTTCCATAACAGCTATAGGGTCTGGCCTAAGCTGCTCTGCCCGTTGTGCCAGATGATCCAGCAGAATTCAAACATGCTAGAGGCATGCATAGTGGGCATTACAGGACTCTGTCCAAGTCTCTGACAAATCCACAGGAGAGGGGAGAGAAAACTCCTAGGGAATTAGTGCAAGACCATTCCCTCTTCAGCAGAGGAGTGCCCTCTGTCTCAAAAACAAAACAGCAGTTGCAGAAGATTAGAGACAAGAGAAAGAACCAGCAAAGGAGATTGAGAAGAGGTGCCCAGCGAACAATGATAAAATCAGAAGATGGCAGCATCCCCCAAATAAACCAGGTTCATTGCTGCTAATACAGCATGCAACAGGAAGACTAATGATTGCCCCTCTAAGCATGAGCGCCTCTAAGCACAAGACCCTGTGCAACAGTGGAAATCATATGCCCATAAAGCCAGCCATGATTGGAAGACATGAGCAAATCTGAGTGGTACAAGGAGTAGACAGTATTGGACTTAAACATGTGCTTCCTCAGATTCCCTTAACTGTCACTTATTCTCTAGGCCAGCACCTTGCCTGATCCAGATCATCCTACCATCCTTCCTTGAATGGAACACCACACTGTGGGCCTGAGGTCTGTCTTTCATAACAGCCACCAACGGACTGGATGATGGAAAGCAGAACAGCAGAGATGGTAGTTCCGCCTCAGGGAAACCCTGGCCAATGGAAAATGGAAGACAGAAGACAGCTGAACAGATACATTCTCCCTCCTCTCTCGCTTCCATGGACTAATGCTGGCTGTGGTATTCCCCTTGTAGCCTTTCCGGAAAAGTACTGGGGTCCAAGTGCATGCATCTGATGACCACCATGCTGTCTCTCTCACCTTATAATGAAGTTGCCACAACAGAGTCACATACACACAACACATTGTTACAATACATCCCAACACGTTCTTTCACATCTGCTCTTGCCTCACTTTCCACGTGCTCTTGCCTCAATTTCCACGCGTCCCTGCCATTGCTGCCCTGGACTTACCTTCCAAAGAAATGTTATCACTTTAATATCAGACACTGGCTCTAGTTCTAGACCTCCAAAGCTAAGATATTCATTCAGTGGTATAATTTATTTTTCACTCACTTTTCTGTGATTTTATAATATGGCAATTAAAATGTTCATTTAGAAAGGATATTAAAAATATTATATAAAAATCACATTTTAGTAAGGTAATTCATAACTAACTCAATTTTTAAAATTGAAATGCATTTTTTACATAATAACCAGCTAGAAATATCAGAATACAAATATATCATTCACAATCGAGAAAATATATACAAATATCCAAAAGTCTTTTATATGCTGTTTTGAAGGTATTGTAGTGGGTGCCATGTGATTTTGATGTTCCACCTTATCTCCATGTTTTTAGTCTGATATAGCTGCATCAAGGCTATATATAGCGATATTTCCCCTGCAAGTATGGAATAACCACACTTTTACTCTGAAAAATGCTTCTTCTTAGATAATTCTGTCATCTCAACCAGAAACCAGAATAGGCAAATTCATGCAACTGTAGATTTTGTGATGCTTCATTTTCACTGGTTCACCACCCCAAGACATGTAATTTATTACTCTATTCACTAACTCATTTGTTCTTCAAAATATTTTTGGCTATCTATTTTTTATGTGATCTTTTAGGTCCTGGCAGTCAACAATAAGCAAGGTCTGCAGGATCTCTGTTTTTTGTTGTTGTTGTTTTTTGAGACGGAGTCTCGCTCTGTCGCCCAGGCTGGAGTGCAGTGGCGCGATCTCGGCTCACTGCAAGCTCCGCCTCCTGGGTTCATGCCATTCTCCTGCCTCAGCCTCCCGAGTAGCTGGGACTACAGGCTCCCGCCACCACGCCCTGCTAATTTTTTTGTATTTTTAGCAGAGACCGGGTTTCACAGCGTTAGCCAGGACGGTCTTGATCTCCTGACCTCGTGATCCGCCCACCTCGGCCTCTCAAAGTGCTGGGATTATAGGCGTGAGCCACCGACCCCGACCAGGGTCTCTGCTTTTATGGTGCTTACGTTGTACCAGGAAAGATATATAATAAACAAACAAATAACTAAATCAAATGATTTATCTCAAGGTTTAGATAACATTGTTAAAATTTCATAACTCCGAGAATTGATACAGTCTGTAGAATTTACTTGTTTAATGACGTTATACATTTTTTCCTATAATAGAACTTGCTATCACTGAATATGTCAACACACTTTCTCTCACTGCATTATTTGCAACTAGATTATAATAAAACATATATTTAAGTCATTTCCTATCATCAATACATAGATGTCATAGACGTCATTTTAGAATTTGCAGAAAGTATAATTCAAATGATTTTCATAATTTCTATACTATTTTTACATGGAGTATTTTTTCAAGTAATAAAGATTTGAGTTCATTTATGTGATTTTTAAAAAGATTTTTAAATGTGGAAGATAGTGGAGAGAATCGGCAATTTAGGGGCTCTGAAGCAGTTTAGGAAAGAAACGGAAATATTTGGTATCCGATCTCAATTTCAAAAAAGGTTTTCTTTACCTCAAAAACTGGAAGAAATGACTTTTCTACCTGTATATGGAGACTTATGACAGCAGTTAAGAGGTCAGCATTGTGTTTCTTTCTTCATCCCTATTACAGATATGACTTTTTTCTCAGTTGTTCACATATTTGTATAAAATCTAATATTCCTCAGTACTGATGATGGTAGACATATACAAAATGTATTCCAAATATATTTTTCATCCTTGAATTTTATTTTGTGCATAGTTTTCTAACAATAATTGTTTGCTTTAAATTAAACATAAAATTAGAATTCATTATGCAACAAAAACTACCCCAAAGATAAAACTTCATTATTGATTTAGATTAGAATGCGCATACCATCCAAAAAACTAGACGTTCAAATAATCACGTTTAAGCACACTATGGTACATACGTATGGTACAAATAACAGTGGAAAAGAGCAATGATTTTGTGAAATAAGCTGTAAGTTCTTAACAATTATAAATAGAGATCATAAATTTTTCAAATGAAACATGATAATATGAACTGTATTGTGAATACACATGGCTTCATGATTCTGAAAAATTTCTTACAATATTTTCTATAATTTGGCAGTTTGTAAAAAATGATTATGTTATTGCCACTCTCTCTTAAGTGTTTCATATACACATACACATGCATATATAGATACTTTTTAGACTAACTTTAGGTAAAAGACTTTTCTAGATATACTTTTGGAAATTACTCAAAAACATACAATACAGAAAAACCAGTGGAAAGTATAAAATGTTCCAGACAACATCAGTTTGTTTTCTCTTGGAGACACACGATGTCCCACTTGTGAATCTAGAAATTTGAGAGTTTCAGGTCTTTTACTCAGCACTTAATCTGACACAAAATCAAAAGAAAGGTCTGTTTCAGCTTCTTGCTTCCCCAAATTAGGATGAATGAATGAAATGAAGGGTATATAATTGCAGTAGTTTGGCTGAGCATGAGGACAGGTTCGTTCTACAGCCTCCTCCTAAAATTCCAAATCGATGTGATTAGGGACAGAAAGTAAACAGCAAATAACAAGAGGAAGGAGGTCACCGTTTGCAAAGCTTTTATGTGGACCTTGGTGTTGGAATCTGGAGATCCTTTGCCATGGAACTGCATCTTCTTGAGATGTTTACACAAAGAACAGATTAAGAGCAGAAAAGATAACAGGGACAGAGTAAAGGGTATTAAGTTTGCAAGCGTGGTTACAGTCATATCTGAAAGGTGCGTCGGATCACTCAATTTGATCTCCCAACTCACGTTTCCTTCATATTCTTTTGTCCACATACTCTCATCCATGTTTACCACAACAAGATGACAAACCAAAAATAACAAAGACCCCAATAGTATCACTGGAATGACACTCTTAATTCTCCTTTTTAAGTGAAGAAAAATAAAGTTGGAGAAATTGGCAATCTTGAGGAAATAAAATATGCTGAGGCTAGTAGCAACCCAGATGCTGAAATGGTTGGTTACAGCCCAGGCATTAATAGTAGTAATTCTTACTCCTAAACTATATGAACCTGGATTCAAAACAGTTGCATACCAATGTAATAATATTACCCAGAGCAAACCAACTCTGGAGACTGCCAGAGCAGTGAGAATTTGGTCAGCAAAGGAGATCTTTTGTCTCTTGACCCACTCAATGGAATTTACCAACACTATGAAGCCATTAGCAAAATTCCCAAGAACAAATGTAACCACTACTAGAATGGAAAAAATGATGGGTAGAAAAGTTATCATGTCTGAACAGACAAAAAGATAGAATAAATGAAGGCCTAACAGCACTGGCTGTGATCCTTTAATATCCTGACCTTAAATTTTATGTGGACCTGATTTCTGAATGTGCAGTAACATTCTTTTTACTTTCAAATACTGTGACCAGTGTCAAACAAGAAAGTAGCAGTTTATGCTAATTGATAGTTCAATAATGTATTTATGGAAAACATTCTAATTTTCAAACAGCTCAACTTAATTCATTCATTCAATGTCTGTTCTTGTTAGAGACTTGTTAGATACTGAAGTAGAAGTGAAACCGGAATTTTCATTTGCCAGCATGCAAATAAAGACATATTCTCTTTCAGTGTTTTGCAATGTTTTCCTCATTTCACCTTTCCATAATTTGTGTTCAGTAACTTTAGCTGTTTGTTATGGAAAATGTGCCACATATTTCACACAGTAAATGCCTAAATCTTAAAGGGAGATTAGTTATAACTAGGATCATCACCATGACCAATTTTTATGCTAGATTTAAATAGACAAAATCCAAACTTTTTAATCAAAGTCATCGAAAATTTTCTTGGGAACCATGGGAATGCCAATACACCTTAAAATCTTATTCCTGCTAACCAGTACTTTTGTATGACATTAGTGTTAACAAGCTCATAAAACATACACACATAGACAGACACACACACATACACATACCCATCCAGAAAAAATGAACTTTTAAAATAATTTCCAAAATGGAAAATGCATTTCCAGGAGGTCATCCTGGTGAAATTAGTCCTATTTTCCCACTCAGGGTTTTCAGCCCATAAAAATATATTAAACATATCTCTCATACTTAGACCCTTGGTAAAGTTACTCTCAAGTCTATTGAATGTCTAAATATTTGTTATTTCATTAAAATATTCAACATTTTTGTAAATATTCCTGAGTATCCCATTATTTGACATATAATCTTGCAGTATTTTCCCACCACACACAGGGTGACTACCTTGCCCCTGGACTCTGAGTACACTCACATAGCTTGCTTTGATTAACAGAAAATTGGTAGACTTCACACAGAGGTTTGAGATGGTTTCCACATTGGAGTTTCTTTTCCTTTTCTGTTTATTATGAGAACATTGCCTGGCTACTACTCTGTTCCCAGAAGGAGAATGAGAAAATAATGGAGTCAGTTTGTCCTTGCCTGATCCAGCCTACTTTGTCCAAACTCTAACTAATTCCAAGATGCAGAACTTGGCCCATCTCATATCACCAGAGCCATCCAGCAAACCCAGCTTAGAAAAACTGAATCCAAAGACATGTGAGATATCAATATGTAATGTAGTGTTGGAGAGGTTTCTCTGGCAGAAAAACCTAACTGATATAGGTACTCTGCAAAACCAAGCGTGTGGGAAATATGTCCACCCTTGTTGTGTCAGGAATAGAGGAGCCAAAAGAAAAATAGATAAGGAATGGCAAAGTTTTGTCATGCAAGGTAGATAATTAAAGGTAGAGGCTGGGCGCGGTGGCTCACGCCTGTAATCCCAGCACTTTGGGAGGCTGAGGTGGGCAGATCAAGAGATCAGGGGATCGAGACCATCCTGGCTAACACGGTGAAACCCCGTCTCTACAAAAAATACAAAAAATTAGCCAGGCCTGGTGGCGGGCACCTGTAGTCCCAGCTACTTGGGAGGCTGAGGCAGGAGAATGGTGTGAACCCCGGAGGCGGAGCTTGCAGTGAGCGGAGATGGCGCCACCGCACTCCAGCCTGGGCGACAGAGCAAGACTCCGTCTCAAAAAAAAAAAAAAAAAAAAAGTAGAAAAAAACCTTTGGAAAGATCTGGGTACTTCAGGTAGCGTCTTCTCTTATTTCTACATGTTGTAACTAAAATAAAGTTCCCACTTCAACTCTCTTAGAGTTGTATGTAAAGATATATAAATGGTGAATTTTTTCCTAGGTATATAATGAGCAGAGTAATCAATAATTTTTATGGTGCACTTCTCCTAATAAATAATTTTCAAATAAAATTATAATGCACACTTAGAAATGAGTCAAAATAAAAATGGTAAACACAGCAATGTATTATAAACACTCATGTAACCATCAAATAAGGCAAGACGTGGAACATTGCAAAGAGCCTAGGTCCACCTCCATGCTGCTTTTCAAGCCCCTAAATGTTTCTTCACATCTGGTAACAATTTTCTACTTTTCCCAACACTTGGGTCACACAATACAATAAAAGCTTCGTCTAGGCCTTATCCTGCAAGTTGGAAGAAACAGGAAATTGATTTCATGTGATTAGCTTTTTGTTTTGTTTTGTTTTGTTTTGTTTTTGGCATAGCAGCTTGATGAGTCCAAACCACAAACTCTCCTTACAGGGAAATTCAATGAACAGCACTGGATCTCAAAATGCCATTCCAATAAATAAAATATAGTACCTCAATTACAAATACACCATTGTATTCCATGAATTAACTTTTATTTTGCTTATAATGTAGAAATGGGGCTCTTTGCCTTCAAACTGCATCATTACTCAAGTGAGAGATCAAAGAGGTGAGGGGAAACTTACATTTGATTTGTTTAGTCCTAAAATCCTCTTTTTAAAAATAAGAGATTAGGGTGTGGTGGCACGTGCCTGTCATCTCAGCTACTCAGGAGGCTGAGGCAGGAGAATCGTTTGAACCCAAGAGGCGGAGGTTGCAATGAGCTGAGATGGAGCCACTGCACTCCAGCCTGGGCTAGAGAGCGAGACTCCGTCTCAAAAGAAAAATAAATAAATAATAAAAATAATAAACAAAAATAATAGATTGATCATGAAATGGTTTATCTCTCTGATTGAAGAATTGTATTTACGTTAAAAACTAAATGTTTATTATAGTGTTCCTTGGATTAGTTTAAGGTCATCCATAAATAACTATTTTCTTAAGCAATGTATTTTAAACTAAACTAAACTTAATTTCTAAATCTAAATGTATTTAGCTTGACTTGAACTTTACCGTTTACTAATGTAACTTGCCCATAATGATATTCTTTATTTAAATTACGTAGGCATTATCCAATTTATGAATGTACATATTTCAAAAAGTAAATTATTTAATGGGATAGATGTAGATAGAGATGATGATGATAGCTACAAGGTAGACTGCTAGCTAATAAATGTGACCATTCATTTTTCTAAGTGCTACAATTCAGGGTAATGGGATAACACAATTATTCTTTCTCCTGGCTTTATGATTCTCATATTATTCTCAGCATCAGGGCTTAGACTGAAATAATACCTTTGATGGAGGACATTTCCCTTACCCCTTCATGGGAGGGAACTGGGGCTCACTGACGCTAGAACCAGCCAGCTGCTTTAGGGCTGGCAGGGGTGAAATCCACTCGCTGGGACCCACTGCGCCCAGCCCTCATGGGAGGGAGCACACAGGTGAACAGGTGCAGGAGCACTTTTGGATGCCAGCAGGAACAAATTCTGTGCAGGCCCCGCAGCAGCATCTGGGGGGGTGCCCGCACCCCTGAAACCTCGAGGGGGAGGGTGTTACAGTGCTCTTTTAGCTCTGCTATCTGCAGACGTCTTAAGTGTTAGTAGCTCAGTGGGCCCTTTGCCTTTTCGCTTGAGGCGGCTGCCTCTTGCCAGCAAGGGCAGAGGTTCAGTGTAACAACTTTTCGTATCTGCATTCCTGGCTCCTGAGCTCTTGTCCAGCTTCCAAGAAAAATGAGGTTGCACAACCGAATTGGAGAATGGTAAATGAGGGAGATTTTATTTTGATGGAAGTGACTCTCAGCAGGAAGGGGAGCTGGAAAGGGAATGTGAAGCAGGAAGGTAATCTTCCCCTGAAGTCCGGCTGTCTCCAGCCAGACTCTTCTCGAAAGTCACGCCTTCAACCTGTCCCTCTGAAGTCAAGCCACTTCTCTCCAACGTCCCACCATAGTCTACAACATTGAGCTGCTTCTCCTCTCGATCTTCAGCCACTTCTCACTACCGGTGGAGCCTGGGGTTTTATGGGCATAGGATGAGGGGTGGGGCAGGCCAAAAAAGGCAACATTTGAGTGGGAAAACAGGGATAGAAGTACTCCCTTTGGGCCACAGTCTCAGTCTATTTGGCTTGAGAGTGGGGCTTTAGCTGAGGACCCGCCCTTTTCTGTCTAGAATTTCCCAGCCTCCTGCTCCTATCACCTTCACATAGTATTTCATCAATGACAACTTTAAACCAACATATTTCCAAAAGTTTGCTAGCTATTTTTTTTCTTTTATTAAATTCTAAAAATCATAGCAAACATGTCTTCCAGCAAATAGCACCTGCTCTTTGGTTTTTCTGTTTTTTTGTTTTTTTGCATTTTCATATGAACATGTACAAATACTCTGTGCAATTATACAGTACGTAAAATTTATCATATGTATCAATAGCATCATTAGCAAGCCAAATTCTTTCAAATGGTTATTTGCATTCTCAGCTACTGTGATGAAATATGGAGTATTTTATTTTATTTTATTTTGAGATGGAGTCTCACTCTGTTGCTCAGGCTAGAGTGCCATGGTACAATCTCGGCTCACTGCAACCTCTGACTCCCAGGTTCAAGCAATTCTCCTTGCATCAGCCTCCTGAGTAGCTGGGATTAAAGGCATCCACCACCACACCCGGCTAATTTTTGTATTTTTAAGCAGAGATGGGGTTTTGCCATGTTGGCCAGGCTAGTCTTGAACTCCTGACCTCAGGTGATCTGCCTGTATCGGCCTCCCAAAGTGTTGGGATTACAGACGTGAGCCACTGCACCTGGTCCCTTGGAGTATTTTATTATAGCAAGCAATGCAGCACTACACATACAAAAACATACCCAAAGATTATACTAAGTAAGTTTTACACTTTAACACATTTAACTTTCTGGTTTTTTCTCTAATAGAGAGCCAAAAAATTATAGCAACAAAATATTTTTTCCAACATATATGTGTGCACATACTATGATTTTTGAATGGTAACAATATGACTGAAATTATTTTATTTAAGGATAAATTTAGGGATAATCATCCGTATAATTTAATATCTACAGTACCATAATTTATTGAAAATTCAGTAATTTCTGTCACTTTGTGCATTGTAAATAAATTGGAAATAAGAACAAAAGGTGTCCAGCAATGTATCAATATTCAAAATTTGATGTTTCAAATTAAGATTAGCATTAAGAATTTGAATTTATAGTTCTTGCTTATATATTATTTTTAAAATTAAAGAAAAGTTTTTTTGTTTTTTTTTTTCGTTTTTGAGATGGAGTTTCATTCTTGTTGCCCAGGCTGGAGTGCAATGGCACAATCTCAGCCCACTACAACCTCCGCCTCCCAGGTTGAAGCGATTCTCCTGCCTCAGCCTCCCTAGTAGTTGGGATTACAGGAGCCCGCCACCACAATCAGCTAATTTTTTGTATTTTCTAGTAGATACGGGCTTTCACCATGTTGGCCAGGCTGGTCTTGAACACCTGACCTCAGGTGATCCACCCGCTCAGCCACCCAAAGTGCTGGGATTACAGGCGTGAGCCACTTTGCCCGGCCCTAAAATTTTAACTTGTGTTTATAACTACTATAATAGTCTATTTGACTTTATTCAGCAAAAACTCTAATAATTACAGTTCTATCTATGAGAATATGTAGTTTCAGTGTAATTTTATATTCATTATTTTACTTTTTTTGCCTTTTAAATATTTTTATTATTGTGGAACATAGCATACAGACAGAAAGCAACAAAACCTAAAAGCACAGTAAGAGAAAAAGTTATAACTTTACTCCCCGTGTTTACCACATCTTGGTCAAAAAATAGAATTTTCCAGCCATCCAGACACTCCCCATATATGCCTTCTGTTGATCCCATTCTCCTCTTGTTTTCCTCCTCCCTACTATCCATATTGTTGTAATAGTCACTCATATGTTTCACTTTAGAGTTTTGTCACCAATGTAATAAATTGCAATGTATTAAAGATATATTTTTGAAAACTTTATATAAATGGAATTAAAATGAATGTTTTTCACTATGGATAGATCCTCTTACACTTGTGAGTATTATCTAATCAGCTCAAATTTGTTTATTTTCTTTGTTATATACATTTCTTGTAAACATGTCTCTCTAGTTGGTTCATTTTGATTACTGTATAGTACTATACTATTATATAGGTATGCCATAATTTATTTATCTATTTTATCACTGATAGACATTTGAGAAACTTCTCAACTTTAGCTATGAAAACACAGTGATATTCATGTGTGTGTATACATTTTCTGGTAAGAGTACCTGTACTGAGTCTTAAGATGTGCTCCTTCATCTTCATCAGATAATGCCATACTAAGCCAAAGAATTATATTAATTTATACTTCTAGGAGCAGTGTTTGAAAATTCTCATTACTTCTTGTTCTTTTCAAAATGAGTAATATCAGAATAATTTTCACACTTTTATATTTATATAAAAATTATTAAACTTAACATTTTATAATTCTTTTTCTATTCAATTTTAAAACGTAACTTTAGTTCAAAAATTACATATTACTCTTTTATCATTCTATGATTGTGATTTTATACACATTTCTCAAGAATGAATTGTATATTTTATGCACTTATTCGTATTCTATTATTAAATTTTCTAATCATTTTTCATGAAGTTTCAAATTCTCATTTGATATCAGCAAATAGAATTATACCAGAGATATGCCTTCAGTCAAACATTATGTCAGATCATTTTGAGAAAATATGATTAGTTATTGGCATGTTGCAAGGGAAATTTGGAGTGTTTAACAGGCCCTGAAAGGACTCATACAAAGTGTTGAAATATAAAAATGTTTATACATTTAATATAGGTGTCATGGGAAAATACAAATTCCACCATTACTAGTATGGAAAAAAATGATTGGTAGTAAACTTCCCATGAACTGAACAAACACACCTTAAAAAAAGGCAAGTCTAATATCACTGGGCATGATCCCCCTTAAGGTCCTGACCTTAAACTCTATGTGTACCTGAATTCTGAATGTGCACTAATATTTTTGATGCTTTTAAATTCAGTTGTGTGACCAATGTCAAGCAGTAAAGCACCAGCACATGCTTATAGATGAGTTCAATGCTGTCTTTATGGAAAATATGTTATTCTCAGAACAGCTCAAGTTAACTACTATTCATACACTGTTCTTTCTATTTTTTCTTTTGAAAAAATTTGAATAAAATTTTTCATAATGACGTTGAAGTAAAAGCTGATTTTTCACTTGCAAGCATGCAAATGAAGACATATTCTCTTTCATTGTTTTGCAATTTTTTCCCTCTTTAACTTCTCCATAATTTTTGTTCAGCAACATCAGTTGTTAGGAAAATTTTAAAACCCAATACATAGATTATATATTGGATATCTACATTTTTGAAGGGAGTTTGGTCGTAACTAGAATCATGGCCAAAGTGAATTTGTTTTCCTCAGTACCAGATTTATGTAGACAGAATCCAACTTTTCCTATCAAATGCATTCAAGATTTTTTTGGGAACCCCAGGAAGGCCAGTACTCTTTAAAATCTGGTTGCTGCTAATACCTCTGTATAACCTTATTGGTAACAAGCCAATTAACACGTACAAAGCACCACAACCCACCCCCCCCGCCCGCCCACACACACACCACATGGATGGGAGAAATTATTGTCCTATAATTTTCAAAATGAAGAATAAATTTCAGGGAGGTCATGTAGGTTGAAAAGTCCTTATTTTCCCACTCATGCTTTTTAGCCCATTTTCAATATTTATCAAACTGATCTCTCATGCTTAGGTCTATAAGTAAGTTATCCTTTTGGGTCTATTAAGTCTTTAAATATTAATTATTTAATTAAAAATATTAAGCAATTTTGTAAATATTCCTTGAGCACTTAAAAAACATGTGTTTTCCACTGAAGAAACTAGACTTCTCTACATGTGATATTTGAATATATTTTTTTCTTTTTAATTTATTTTTGATTACTTAATGGCTTAAGATTAATAGATGCTAAAATAAGACTCCAACCTTGGATTGTATTTCTTTTCAGTTTTGATAATATAATTGTTTCTAAGAAATGATCTTCAAGTCTGATGGCCAGGACAGAAACCCAGATACTCTGTTTCATATAGATATGAACTTAGACTATATTTTACAACTACTATCAGCCTTAGGATAGCCATCTGTAAAACGCACACAATAACAATACCCTCCTTGAGTAGGCTTTATGAGAAGTTAGTACACTACTTGTATAACTGCTTGCAATTTCACCTGTCTGATACAGGCAGAAACCAAGTGTTGCTAGGTTTTCATTTGATCCTGTGTTACTTGATATGTAGAAGTTACCTGTGAAAACTTCCACTCTTGAGTAGATACAGCAGGTTCCAGCAGGCAAAATATTCTTCTGCAGCAGCTAGGATAAGATAAATAAAAGGCCAAAATTATATTTTCAATTCATCGGAGAGCTGTGCAAACAAGGAGGGCCAGCTAAACTAAAATCCAGCACAAGGAGAGTCTTTATAGGTGAAGAGTCAACTTATATATTTAATGCAATCTCTATCAAATTCTGGCGGGCTTTTTTGGTAGACCATAAAAAACTACTCCTAAAATGTATCTGGAAATGCCAAGTGACAAGAGCACCTAGAGAAATAATTTAAAAAGAACAAAGTGGGGGGATTACAGTTTCTCATTTCAAAGTTTGCTAAAAGCTGGACTAATCATCAGGACACTGGCATTTTTAATACTATAGACAAGAATAATGAAACACAATTAAGAGTCCACAAATTAGTAACAACATTTATTATCAGCTAATTTCAAAAACCATACCATTTCAATTAAATAAGAATCATTTTTATCAATAAATGATGCTAGACAAAATGAATATTCTCATGCATAAAGATGAATTTAGGCTACTGCCAATGTCCATATAGAGGCTAGCAGCCTTGGATCCACCTGCACCCCACCCCAGTCTACGAGTGTGTACTCTGCCACACTACTGATGCTGCTGGCATGTGTGAACAAGGATGAGCCACAATGCCACTGCCCAACAAAGTGCTTAGGCTGGCACCATCCTTCAGAGTATCGTAACCAGCAATCCAGGAACACAATAGCCCTTCCAGCATAGCAGATTCCCAACCTTAAGGGGAAAGAGAGCAAAGCCAGGGGCCCAATACTAGCCTCCCAGAGTTACGGCATTCAGCGCGGGAGTGCTGAGCTGATCCTTGGCACCCCCAAAATCTACCATAAACAAAGCTAGTAAATGAAACCCACCTTATTCCGAAATCAAACCCCCAAGGGTATCAAAGAAGATAAAAGAAAAAAAAAGAACCCATCCAAAGTACAGCAATTTCAAAGATTCAAGGAACATCAGCCCACACAGATGAGAAAGAATTAGCACAAGAACTCTGGCAACACGAAAAGCCAGAGAATGTCTTCTTACCTCCAAACAACCACACTAGTTCAGCAGCAATGGTTCTTGACCAGGCTGAAAAGGCAGAAATGACAGAAATAGAATTCAGAATATGGATGGGAATGAAGATCAATGAGATTCAGGAGAAAGTAAAAACCAAATCCAAAGTTTTTAAGGAATGCAATAAAATGATGCAGAAGTTGAAATACAAAACGGTTATTTTAAAAAAGAAAAAAAAGTGTTCTGACAGAACTGAAAAACTAACATCAAGAATTTCAGAACACAATGGAAAGTATTCACGGCATAATTGAGCAAGCTGGGGAAAGAATCAACGAAGGAACCAAACTGATCTGACTGAACTAAAAACTCACAAGAAGACCATCCCCAAGGCACATAGTCATCAGCTTCTCCAAGCTCAAAATAAAAGAAAAAATGCTAAAGTCAACTGGAAGAGAAAGGACAGATCACCTACAAAGGGAACCCCATCAGGCTAACAATGGACCTTTTAGTAGAAGCCCTACAAACAGAAAGAGAATGGGGGCTTACATTCAGCAGTTTTGTTTTTTAAAAAGAATTTTTAATCAAGAATTTCGTATCCACCCAAACTAAGCTTCATAAGTGAAGGGGAAATAAGATCTTTTCAGACAAGCAAATGCTAAGGGATTTCATTACCACCAGCCGTGCCTCACAAGGGGTCCTGAAGGGAGTACTAAACATGGAAAGAAAAGATCTTCACTGACAACACAAATACACTTAAGTACATAGACCAGTAACACTATAAAGTAACCACACAACCCAATCTGCATAATAACCAGCTAACAACATGATGAAACAATCAAATCTTCACATATCAACACTAACCTCGAATGTAAAAAGGCTAATTGCCCCAGTTAAAGAGCAAAGAGTGGCAGGTTGGATAAAAAAGCGTAGCCTAATGGTATGCTGTCCTTAAGAGACCCATCTCACGTGTAATGATACGCATAGGCTCGAAGTAAAGGAATGAAGAAAAATCTACCAAGCAAATAAAAAATAGAAAAAAAAAAACAGAGTTACTATTCTAATTTCATAAAAAAAGTCTTTAAATCAACAAAGATCAAAAAAGACAAGGAAGGGCATTATGTAAAGTAAAAGACTCAATTCACGAGAAGACCTAACTATTCTGAATATATATGCAGCCAACATAGGAACACCCAGATTCATAATGCAAGTTCTTAGAGACCTATGAAAAGACTTAGATAAACACACAACACTAGTGGGAGAATTCAACACCCCACAGACAGCATTAGACAGATGATCAAGACAGAAAACTGACAAAGGTACTCAGAATCTGAACTAAACACTTGACCAAATGAACCTAATAGACCACCACAGAACAGTTCACCCCAAAAGAACAGAACACACATTCTTCTCATCTGTACATGGCATGTAATCTAAAATGAACCACACAATCTAACATAAAACAATTCCTAGCAAATACAAAACAACAAAAAATATACCAGTCACGTTCTTGGACCACAGTCCTATAAAAATGTAAGTAAATACTAAGACAATAGCTTAAAACCATATAATTACATGGAAATTAAACAACCCTCTCCTGAATGAATTTTGGGTACATATGAAATTAAGGCAGAAACCAAGAAATTCTTTGAAACTAATGAGAAAAAAGATACAACATACCAGAATTTCTGGGATATAGCTAAGGCAGTGTTAAGAGGAAAGTTTGTAGCACTAAATGCCCACATTGAAAAGTTAGAAAGATCTCAAATTAACAACCTAACATCCCAACAAAAAGACCTAGACAACCATGAGCAAACCAATGCCAAAGCTAACAGAAGACAAGGAATAACCAACATCAGAGCTGAAGTGAAGGAAATTGCAATGCATAAAATCATACAAAAGATCAGTGGGCTGAGGAGTTTTTTTTTTTAAATTAAGATAGATAGAACACTAGCCACAATGATAAAGAAAAAAGAGAGAATATACAAATGAACACTTTCAGAAATGACAAAGGGGACATTACCACTGACCCCACTGAAATGCAAACAACCTTCACAAACTACTATCAACACCTCTATGCATACAAGCTAGAAAACCTAGAAGAAATGCATAAATTCCTGGGCATATACAACCTCCAAGACTGAACTAAGAAGAAATTGCATCCCTAAATAAACCGATGATGAGTTCCAAAATTGAATCAGTAATAAGAAGCCTGCCAACCAAAAAAAGCCCAGGACCAGACAGATTCACAGCTGAATTCTATCAAATGTATAACAAAGCACTGGTATGATTTATACAGAACCTATTCTAAGAAACTGAGGAAAAGGGACTCCTCCATAACTCATTCTATAAAGCCAGCAGCACCCTAATACCTAAACTTTTCAGAGACACAACAAAAAATAGAAAACTTCAGACCAATATCCTTAATAAACACAGATGAAAAAGTACTCAAAAAATACTAGCAAACTGAATCCAGCAGCACATCAAAAAGCTAATCCACCATAATCAAGTAGGCTTTATCACTAACATACAAGGTTGTTTCAGCATATGCAGATCAATAAGTGTGCTTCATCACATAAGCAGAACTAATTAACGAAAATCGCATTATCATCTCGATAGATGCAGAAAAGGCTTTCAATAAATTCAACATCTCTTCATATTAAAAACTCTCAACAAACTAGGAATTGAAGGTATATACTTCACAATAATAAGCACCACCTATGACAAACAAAGCCACATCATACCGAATGAGCAAAACTGGAAGTATTCCCCTGGAAGATAGGAACAAGACAAGGATATCTTCCCTCACCACTCTTAATCAATTACTGGAAGTCCTGGCCAAAGCAATCAGGCAACAGAAAGAAATAAAAGTCATCTAAGTAGGAAGAGAAGAAGTCAAACTATCCCTGTTTGCAGACAATGTAATCCTATACCTAGAAATCCCAACAGTATTTGCCCAAAATCTCCTTGATCTTACAAACAAACTCAGCAAATTCTCAGGATACAAAAATCAATGTACAAAAATTAGTAACATTCCTATATATCAACAACATCCAAACAGAGACAAATAAAGAAAGCAATCCCTTTCACAATAGCAGCAAAGGAATACAACATATAGAGGAATACAGCTGACCAGGGAGGTGAAATATCGCTACAAAGAGTATTACAAAACATTGCTCACAGAAATCAAATATGACACAGACAAGTGGAAAAAGATTCCGAGCTCATGGATAGAAAGAATCAATACTGCTAAAATGCCCATGCTGCCTAAAGCAATTTACAGATTCAGTGCTATTTCTGACAAACTACCAGTGACATTCTTCACCAAAGTAGAAAAAAACTATTTTAAAGTTCATATGGAATAAAAAAAAAAAAAAAAGAAAGAGCCCAAATAGCCATGGCAATCCCAAGGAAAAAGAACAAGCTGGAGGCACATTACCTAACTTTGAACCATACTGCAAGGCAACAGTAACCAAAGCAGCATGGCAATGGTACAAAAACAGGCACATAGACCAAGGAAATGGAATAGAGAGCCCAGAAATAATGCCACCCACCTACAGCCATCTGATCTTCAACAAAGTTAAGAAAAACAAGCAATGGGGACAGACCCCCTATTCAACAAATAATGCTGAGATAACTGGCTAGTCACATGCAGAAGATTCAAACTGGATACTTTCCTAATACATATACAAAAATCAAAGCAAGCTGGATTAAATACTAAAATGTAAAACCTAAAACTGTAAAAAGAAAAATAACACCTGAAAAATAACCTA
The DNA here is from genome assembly GCF_000001405.40 of Homo sapiens. NCBI lineage: Eukaryota > Metazoa > Chordata > Mammalia > Primates > Hominidae > Homo > Homo sapiens. The sequence goes on from NT_187658.1 coordinate 177,194, forward strand.
GGAAATACCTTTCTGGACATAGGACCTGGCAAAGAGTTCATGACAAAGATGCCAAAAGCAATTGCAACAAAAACAGAAATTGATAAATGAAACTTAATTAAACTAAAGAGTTTCTGCACAAGAAAAGAAATTATCAACAGAGTAAACAGACAACCTGCAGAATGGGAGAAAATATTTTGCTAACTATGCATCTGACAAAGTCCTATTCAGAATCTATAAGGAACTTGATTTTGCGAGCAAAAAACAAACACCTCCATTTAAAAATGAATAAAAGGCATAGACAATTTTCAAGTGAAGACACAGCCAACAAGCATATGAAAAAATGCTCAATATGAATGAATCATTAAAGAAATGCAAATCAAAACCACAATGAGATAACCTCTCACACCCCTCAGAATGCCTATTACAAAACAAACAAACAAACAAACAAACAAAAACAGACTCTGTCAAGGTTGTGATGAAAGGGAATGCTTTCATACTGCTGGTGGGAATGTAAAACAGAAACAGCAAAGCAAGTACCACATGTTCTCACTTACAAGTGGGAGCTAAACATTAAATACATATGGACACAAAGAAGGGAGCTACAGACACCAGGGCCCACTTGAAGACGGAGGGCAGGAGGGGGGTGAGGATCAAAAAGTTACCTATCAGGTACTCTGCTTATCACCCCAGTGATGAAATAATCTATACAGCAAGTTCCCATGCCATGCAATTTACTTATATAACAAACCTGCACATATACCTCTGAACCTAAAATAAAATCTAAAAAAAATTTAAAACTGCAGAGAGAAGTGAGATTTCTCTTTAAATAAGGCAGGATTGATTTAGTGATTTAGTGATATTTGAGGAGTGGTAGTGTTTAGTGTTGATATCTGAGAAAGAGCATTCCAAGAAGAAAGGACACAAGTATGAAGTCCCTGAGGCAATGCTTGGCATATTCAAGAAGTGACACAAAGGCCAATGTTGCTAGCATGGGATGAGCCAGGTGTGTTTTAGGACAGACAGGCAGACAAAAACAGATCATTCAAATGATTATAGGACTTCGTAAGGATTTTGGCCTTACTCTGAATGAGTTGAGAAGCCACTGAAAAATCTGGAGCAGAAGAACAGCATGATCAAATTTGCACTTTTGCAGGCTCTCTCTGGCTGCTACATTGAGAATACATCAGGGGAATGTGCAGAACTAGAAAAAATTATTAGGAGTTGATAGCAATTATCTTGGCAAGAAATGCAGAAATTTAGATGAGTATGGCAGAAGTGACGACAAGGGATTGGATTCTGTATGTTTTTGAAGACAGAGTCTATAAAATTTGCTGAGATGAGATGTGAAGGAGAGAAAACGTGGACTCTATGTTTTTTGTCTAAATATCTGAAAGTCTGAAGTCTTCATTAACAAAAGGAAAGACTGTAGGAGAAACAGATTTGGGGATGGAAGGAAAGATGAGTAATTTGGTTTAGACAACTTAGTTCTAAGTTCTTGTCAGACATCCAAATGAAGATGTCAAATATGCTATTAGAGAAAGGATTCTGGAGACCAGGGTTGGGTTCTGAGCTGAAGGATTAAATGTTCACATCATCAGCACACAGAAAGTAAGGCCATGACCAGATGAACTTACCTAAAAAGTAAGAGCCAAAAGAGAAAGAAAAAACATAAATTTAGACCCTTATTTTATACCACACACAAAAATTAACTCATAATTCATTGATCATGGAGCAAAAACTTAAGAACTATGATTACTGCGATACTGAGACACTAACTGTACCAAATGCAAGAAATAAAAAATGGGTTAATCAATCATAATTCTATCTATGTATTTCTTTACTTAGATCATTATGTCCATAATGATTATCCCCTGCCTATCAATCTATCAATATTTACATTGCTATTTTAAATAAAACTAAATTAGATACTGAGTCACTATCACTCTGAATAGGCAGAAACTCAAGTGAAAACATTATTGATCCTCCCACATTCTCCCTAGATTTTTGGTCATGTTACTTTTAAATGTAACTGACATTTGAAGAAAAAAGCTTTATATAATGAGAAATATGTAAATAGATGTACATAAATAAATAATATATATAAATACATATGAATAATCAGCCTTATTCCTCTCTATTGAACCATTTGGCTACATTATCAGTAAGGAGACTCCATGAGATCACCAACAAAACAAGCCCGATTGATTAAAGGTTGAAGAACTGAGACCTTGGGCAGTGTGATATTTTCAATTTAGAGACAAGAGAGAACTAGCAAAGGAGACTGAGAAGTGGTGCCCAGTAAATAAGGAAAAAATCAGGAGAGGGCAGCATCCTGGAATGCAAATAAACTATATTCAGTACTGCTCACAGAGCATGCAACATGAAGACCGACCACTGGCAACACAGACTCCCTGGTGATCTTCCAAATGTCAGATTCAATGAAGTGGTGACAACAGCCTTATTGAAATGGGTTGATAGGCCAATAGTTGAAGAGGCTTCATACTTTGCTAAATAATTATAAACCAAGAGGGGGAAAGAGTTGAAAAAGCTGATTCCTGAGGTCAGCCTTTAACATTGAAAATGGAAAACCCTCAGCCAGTTCTCAGGGCTGAGCCAATTCAGAGAAGCAGAATTCAATGATTGAAGGGAATCTTAAGTCCTCTTGATGATGGACATTGAAAATGCACTGCAAGAACACTCAGGATGTATCATATGTTGCTTTCTCAAAGACCTGTAGCTATTCCCCAGAAAACAGTCCTCAGAGAACAGAACACACGTCCATATTATCTGAGACTTTTAAGTTTGGAGCCTGAACTAACACTAATATCTGGGTACCCCAAAAGACACAGTGGTCCATGGGATACGGTGGCAAATTTTTACTTCTGGATTTTTTTTTTTTTTTTTTGAGGTGGAGACTCGCTCTGTCGCCCAGGCTGGAGTTCAGTGGCATGATCTCAGCTCACTGCAACCTCTGCCTCCCGGGTTCAAGTGATTCTCATGCCTCAGCCTCCCAAGTGGCTTGGATTACAGGTGCAACACCACCACACCTGGCTAATTTTTGTATTTTTAGTAGAGGTGGGGTTTCACCATGTTGGCCAGGCTGATCTCGAACTCCTGACCTCAAGTGATCCAACCACTCAGCCACCCAAAGTGCTGGGATTACAGGCATGAGCCACCGCACCAGGCCCTTTTTGGGCTTTTGTTTGTTGTTTTTGTTTGTTTCTTTTTAGAGACAAGATCTTGCTTGATTGCCCAGGCTGGAGTGCAATGACACCATCATAGCTCACTGCAAACTCGAATTCCTGGGCTAAAGCAATCCTCCTGCCTGAGTCTTCTGGGTAGCTGTAACTACAGGCACACACTACCACAAACAACTAATTTTTTTTTTTTTTTTTTTTACAGATTCTTACTATGTTGCCAAGGCTGATCTGAAACTCTCAGCCTAAAGTGATCCTCCCACTTCGGCCTCCTAAATTATTAGGATTACAGGTATGAGCTGCCTCAATAGGACTGGAGTATGAGTTTTTGAAGATCAGATGGTACATAGAGCTTTGGCCCATGTCCAACCCAAAGGGGTTCTAATGAGTTCATCGTAGTTACCCCTTCCTGAAAGTGTAAGTGAAGTTGACAGGTTCAACAGCTGTCAGGACTCTTACATTTCTTCCTGACCTGTATACCAAGGGACATTATTGTAAGCAGGACCAAGGGGAGGCTTCTGAAATTCTACTTTCCTGGCAATAAAATGAATAAAACATAATAACTGCATTCTCCAGGAAACAGAATTGGTCGCTGCCACAACAAAAAACTCAAAAGTTCCAGGGGGCGGTCGTCCATTTTATATCTTTATTCAGTTAACCTAACTGGCCTCTGTCAAAACCAGATGGATTATAGGATGAATGCACATTAGCATAAACTTAAGTCACACTTGCACATTCGCTCTAGGATGTGGTATCTTCACTGAGCAGAATGTGGTTTCCAGCACTTTGTATGCGGCTTTTGATTTAGCTAATGCTTTTTAATCTACACACATTGTGGAGGAAAATCAAAACAATTTGCTTTGGTGTGGTAAAAACAAGAACACTGCTTCACTGTTTTCTGTCAGGGCTGTCACTTCTGCTTTCAGTTTAATTGACATTTTGCAAAACATCATGTTAATTCAATATATTAATAATATTACATAAAGTGGTACCCATAAGCAGGAAGTGGCAAGTTCCTTAAGTATAGTAAAATATTATAACATTGAACAGAAGTAAAATACTGGAAGAAGAGACATAAACTTCAGCAGATTCAAAGACCTATAACATAGATGAAGTTTATAGGGGTCCAATGCTTCTGGTCCTTTTGTCAAAACATCCTTTTTACAGTAAATGGCATGTTGCCCTATATATATATATTTCCTATCACTAAAAGGGAAATACAGTTTTATGGGGGCTTATTGGGGTTTTGAATTCAACATATACCACATTTAAGGATATTTCTCTGACTCACTAAAGGAGTTTGCAAGGGCTGCTTGTCTCAAGTCAAACCCGAAACAAAAACGGGCTCTATAGCAGATATAGAGTCTGGCCCAAGTTGCTTGGCCATTGTGCCAGATGATGTAACAGAATTCAAAGTTGCTACAGGCATGCATAGTGGGCATTATAGGACTCTGTGCATGCCTCTCACAAGCCCATAGGAGTGGGGAGAGCAAACTCCTAGCGAATTAGTGGAAGACTATTCCTTCTCCAGCAGAGGACTACCTTCTGTCTGAAAAACAAAACAGCAAGTGCAGAAGATTAATCCAAGCATAAAGCCCCTCTAAGCATAAGCACTTCTAAGCACAAGACCCTGTGCAACTGTGAAGTCATATGCCTATAAAGCCAGCCATGATTGGAGGGCATGAGCCAATCTGAGTTGCACAAGGAGTGGACAGTATTGCCCACAAACATATCCTTCCTCAGATTATCTTGACTGTCTTCTCTTTTCTTGGTCAGCACCTTGCTTGATCCAGATCATCCTTCCATTTGGGACTTCAATGGAACACCACACTGGGGGCATGAGGTTTGGCTTTCATAACTACCACCAAGGGACTGGATGATGGAACGCAGAACAGCAGAGATGGTAGTTCTGCCTCAGGGAAACCCTGGCCAATGGGAAATAGAAGACAGAAGACAGCTGAGCAGATACATTTTCTCTTCTCTTTCTCTTCCGTGGACTAATGCCGGCTGTGGTTTCCCCTTGCAGCCCTTCTGGAAAAGTACTGGGAGTCAAGTCCACGCATCTGATGACCACCATGCTGTCTCTCTCATCTCATTGTGAAGTGGTCATCAGCAGAGTCATATCATACATCACAAGACATGGTTTCACATTTGCTTTGCCTCAATTTCCACATGTCCTGGCCATTGCTGCCCTGGACTTATCTTCCAAATAAATGTTATCACTTTAACATCAGACATTGGCTCTAGTTCTAGACACCCAAGGCTAAGATACTCGTTTAGTGTTATAATTGTTATTTATGCATTTTTCTGTGGGTTTTTAATATGGCAATTTAAATGTTCATTTAGAAAGGGTTTTAAAATATTCTATAAAAGTCACGTTTTAGTAAGGTAGTTGGTAACTAACTCAGTTTTTTTTTAATGAAATGCCATTTTTGTTTATACACTAACCAGCTGGAAATATCACAATACAAATATATCATTCACAACTGAAAAATTGTATGCAAAGATACCAAAATCTTTTATATTGATGTGCTTTTTAAAATGTATCACAATAGGTACAAGCTGATTTTGATGTTCCACATTATCTTCCCATCACACATCGAATATGGCTTCATCAGGGCTATCTTAGAGTGGTATTTCCCCTACAATTGTATAATGGCCATACTTCTGCTCTGAGAAATACTTCTTCTTAGATAATTCTGTAACCTCAAGTTGAAACCAGAAAATAAAAATTTATGCAACTTTGGATTTTGTGATGAAGTTTCATTTTCATTGGTTTGCCACTCCCATATAGTTAGTTTACTGCTTTATTCACCAATTTACTTGTTCATCAAAATATTCTTAAATACCTATTCTATGTGTTGTCTTTTAGGCCCTGGGAGTCAACAGTAAGCAAGATCTATATGATCTCTGCTTTTATGGTGCTTACATTGTACCAGGAAAGATATATGATAAACAAACAAATAACTAAATCAGATGTAGAGATGATTTGTCCCAAGGTTTAGATAATATTGTTAAAATTTCATAACTCCAAGAATTAATACAGCTTATAGAATTTAATTGTTTAATGATGTTATACATTTTCTTCCTATAATAGAACTTGCTATTACTGAATATATCAACACACTGTCTCATTGTATTATTTGCAACTAGATTATAATACAACATATATTTTAGATGTTTTCTATCATTAATACATAGATTTCATAGATGCCATTTTAACATTTGCAAAAAGTTTAATTCAAATGATTTTTATAATTTCTATAGTATTTTTACATAGAGTATTTTTCTAAGGTAGGGAAGACTCAAGTTCTTTTATGTGAAGTTTAAAAAGAATTTCAAGTATGGAAGATAGAGGAGATCATTGGCAATTCAGGGACTCTGAGGTGGTTTAGAAAAAAAAACCTGAAATACTTGACATCAGATCTCAACTTCAAAAAAGGTTTTCTTTAACTCAAAAACTGGAAGAAATGACTTTTCTAACTGCATGTTGAGACTTATGACAACATAAGTCATCACGGTGTTTCTTTCTTCATCCTTATTATAGAAATGACTTTTTTCTCAAATGTTCACATATTTGTATTAAGTCTATTATTCCTCAGTACTGTTTATGGTAGACATATACAAAATGTGTTCTAAATATATTTGTCATCCTTGAATATTATTCTGTGCATCTTTTTCTGAAAATAATTATGCTGGCTATAAACTAAACATAAAATTAGAATTCATGATGAAATAAAAACTACCCCAAAGATGAAACCTCATTATTGATTTAGAATTGAGTGTGCTTACTATCAAAAAATTTAGATGTTTAAGCACACTGTGGTACATATGTGTGGTAAAAATCAGTGGAAAAGAGCAAAGATTTTGAGATAATGTGTCACTTCTTAACAATTATAAGTAAAGATCACACAGTTTTCAAGTGAAACATGATAATATGAAATGTATATGTGAAATATACATGGGTTCATGATTCTGAAAAACTTCTTACCATATTTTCTATAATTTGGCATCTTGTGAAAATATGATTAACATTATGTTATTGTCAATGTCTTTTAAGTCTTTCATATACAGATGCACACACATAGATACACTTTTAGACTAACTTTAGGTAAAAGACTTTTCTAGGTATGCTTTCAGAAAATACTCAAAAACATACACTACAGAAAAAACAGTAAAAAGTATAAAATGTTCCAGACACTATCAGTTTGTTTTCTCCTAGAATACACACACAATGTCCCACTTGTGAATCTAGAGAGTTGAGAGTTTCAGGTCTTTTACTCAGCACCTAATCTGACACAAAATCAAAAGAAAGGTGTGTTTTAGCTTCTTGGTTCTCCAAATTAGGATGAATGAGTCGAATGCAAGATATATGTTTCCAACAGCCTTGCTAACCATGACAACCGGGTCATTCCGCAGCCTCCTAGGACTCCAAACCGAAACGATTAGGAATAGAAAGAAAATGGCACATAACAAGAGGAAGGAGATCAGAGTTTGCAAAGCTTTTATGTGGACCTTGGTGCTGAGATCTTGCGATCCTTCTCCATGGAGCTGCATCTTCTTGAGATGTTTACACAGAGAACAGATTAGCATCAGAAAAGATATCAGGGACAGAGTAAAGGGTATGAAGCTCCATAGGGTAGTTACAGTCAAATATGAAAGATGTACTGTATTCCTCAATTTCATCTTCCCAGTCATGTTTCCTTCATATTCTTCTGCCCACATACTCTCATCCATGTTTGCCACAAGAAGATGACAAACCAAAAATATCAAAGTCCCCAACAGTATCACCAGAATGACACTCCTAACTCTCCTCTTTAAATGAAGAAAAAGAAGGTTGGAGAAATTGGCAATCTTGAGCAAATAAAATATGCTGAGGTTAGCAGCAAGCCACATGCTGAAATGGTTGGTTACAACCCAGGCATTATAAGAAGTAATTCTTAATTCTACACTATAAAAAGCTGGATTCAACACAGTTAAATACCAATTTAATAATAATGCCCAGAGCAAACCAATTCTGGAGACCGCCAGAGCAGTGAGAATTTGGTCAGCTGAGGAGATCTTTTTTCTCTTCACCCAGTCAATGAAATTTACCAGTGCTATGAAGCCATTGGCAAAGTTTCCGAGAACAAATAAAACCATTATTAGAATTGAAAAAAAAATGTATAGAAAAGTTATCATATCTGAGCAGAAAAAAAGAAAGAAAATGCAAGCCTAATATCACTGGTTGTGATTTCTTTAATACTCTGACCTTAAATTTTATGTGCATCTGATTTCTGAATGTGCAGTAACATTCTTTTTACTTTTAAATACTGTGACCAGTGTCAAACAAGAAAGTACCAGCTTATGCTAATGGATGAGTTTGATGTCATCTTTATGGAAAACATTCTTATTTTCAAAACAGCTCAAATTAACTCATTCATTCAATGTCCGTTCTTGTGATGGGCTTGAATTATTCATAATGAAGTTGAAGTGAAACCTAAATTTTCATTTACCAGCATGCAAATAAAGACATATTCTCTTTCAATATTTTGCAATGTTTTCCTTGTTTAACCGATACGTAATTTGTGTTCAGCAACTTCAGCTGTTAGATAGGGAAATTTTACCCCCGAGTCCATCGTTCATACAGTAAATGTCTAAGTTCTTTAAAAGACCTTAGTCATAACTAGGATCACCACCATAACGGATTTACTATTTATGCTACATTTAAACAGACAGAATCCAAACTTTTAAATCAAAATCATCCAAGGTTTTCTTGGGAACCATAAGAAGACCAAAACACCTTAAAATCTGGTTGCTGCTAACCCAATACTTTTGTGTGAATTTATTGTTACCATGTTCATAAATAGATACAAACACAGAAAGAGAGAGAGAGAGAGAGAGAGAGACTGTGACACCCCTAAGAGATGGAAGGAATTATTTTCTTATACTTTCCAAAATGGGAAGTAAGTCTCCTGGAGGCCATCCACGTGAAATTAGTCCTATTTTCCCAGTGAAAACTGAGGGTTTTCAGACCCCCCCCAAAAAAATGTATCAAACATCAAACATATCTTTCATGCTTAAGCATTTGGTAAACTTACTCTCAAGTCTATTTAATGTTTAAGTATTTATTATTTAATTAAAATGTTCAACAATTTTGTAAATATTCCTGAGTACCACACCCTATGACACATAATTTTGCAGTATCCTCCCACCATAAGCAGGTTGATTATCTGTCCCCTGGACTCGGAGCTCACTCACACAACTTTCTTTGATGAACAGAAAATTGGTAGATTTCACACCGAGGTTTGAGATGGCTTCCATATTGGGGTTTCTTGCTCTTTTCCATTGATCATGAGATTATCACCTGGCTAGTACACTGTTTTCAGAATGAGAATGAAAACTAATGGAGTCAGTTTGCCTGCACTTGATCCATCCTAAATTGGCCAAAGTCTAACTAGCTCCAAGATGCAGAACTTGGCCCATCTCAAGTCACCAGAGCTATCCACCAAACCCAGCTTAGAAAACCTGAATCCAAAGATATATGAGATAAAAATATCTAACGTAGTTTTGGAGGGTTTCTCTAGTAGAAAAACCTAACTGGTACAGCTACTATGCTACACCAAGAGTGTGGGGAAATATATTTGCCCCTGTTTTGTCAGGAATTCAGGAGCCAAAAGAAAAATAGATGGGGAGTGGCAAAGTTTTGTCACGTGAGGTAGATAATTAAAGGTAATAAAAAAATGTTTGAAAGGATTTGTGTGCTGCAGGTAGCATCATCTGAAATTTCCATATGTTGCAGCTAAAATAAAGTTCCTACTTCAACTCTCTAAGAGTTGTATAAAAATGTGTATAAATGGTGAATTTTTTGCAAGGTATACAATGAGCAGAATAATTAATATTCTTTATGGAGCATTTTTCCAGTTAATAATTTTTAAATACAATTATAATGCACACTTAGAAATGGGTGAAAACTAAGATGGTAAACATAGCAATGTGTCATAAACACTCATGCAACCATCAAGCAGGGCAAAACATGTCACATTGCAAATAGCCTAGGTCCACCTCCATGCCACTCTCCAAGCCCCTACACCTTTCTTCACATACCCTGAGGAGAGCAATAGCCATAATTTAGAATGATCATTTCCTTGATTTTCTTTTTTTTTGAGACAGAGTCTCGCTCTATCACCCAGGCAGGAGTGCAGTGGCGCGATCTCAGCTCACTGCAACCTCCACCTCCCGGGTTCAAGCAATTCTCCTCCCTCAGCCTTCCAAGTAGCTGGGACTACAGGCGCATGCCACCACACCCAGCTAACTTTTTGTATTTTTAGTACAGACAGGGTTTTGCCATGTTGGCCAGGTTGGTCTTGAACTCCTGACCTCAGGTGATCCACCCGCCTCGGCCTCCCAAAGTGCTGGGATTACAGGCGTGAGCCACCGCGCCTGGCCTTGATTTTCTTTATACATTAACAACTAGGTATGCAACCCTAAACTCTATGATACGGTTTTACCTACTTTAAACCTTTAAGCCATATGTAGGTGTAGTCCTGTATGTTCCTGTTCATGGCTTCTTGGACTCACCTTTACGTTTCTGAAATTTACTCACATACTTGCATCTTTATGTGATTCATTTCTTTTCACTTCTCTATATTATTCCATTGTATGAATGTGTTGTAATGATTCATTCATCTTTAGTTGATACATATTTGGGGGGTTTCTTTTTTGAAGAGTTATGAATAATTCTAGTATGACCATTCTTTCATATATCATTTGATTCATTTCCTTTGGATATATACATAGAAAGATAATTACAGGGTCATCAAATACAGCTTTCAAATTCTCTTCACAGACATAGAAAATTCCAAATTTAAATTAACTAAATTCACTTTTTGATACCTTTACTTACAGACTATATATGGCTATTTCTATATATCTTATTAAATACTTAACCCAAAAAGACACCACCACTTTATACAGTCAAAATTTATTTAGACTTATGCACATATTTACCACTTCTATTATTTATTATTCCTTCATGCATGTTCAGCTTTATATTTTTAGTAATTTTCCTTTTATCTAAAAAATATTCTTTTGAATTTCTATTTGTTAAAGTCCGCTATGGTTTTGAAACACACTGAAGACATGATTCCATTGAATTCTAGCTTCAATTTTGTCTGTTGAAAATAAGATTGTCATTTAGACAGTTGTTTCTTTTTACATAAAGTTTTTCCTCTACCTACTTTTCAGATTTTCGATTGGTCTTTGATATCCTGTGGCATTTGTTTTTAATTGGTTTTAGTTATCTCATCTAAATTTTAATGGCTTCTGAAAATATACGGATGTCTCAGAATAGCCAAAGTTATCCTGAGCAAAAAGAACAAAACTGGAGGAATCACATCACCTGACTTCAAAGTATATTACAGAGCTATAGTAACCAAAACAGCATGGTACTGGCATAAAAACAGACACATAGAGCAGCGAAATAGAATAGAGAATGTGGAAACAAATCCACACCTATAGAGAACTCATGACAAAGGTGCCAAGAACATACTCTGGGGAAAGGACAGTCTCTTCACTAAATGGTGCTGGGAAAATTGGATATCCATTTGCAGAAAAATGAAACTAGATGCCTATTTATCACCATATACAAAGATCAAATCAAGGAGGCCTCAATGATTCAGTGATGTTTGATGAGTGATAGTGTTTAGTGTTGATTTCTGAGAAAGAGCATTCCGAGAAGAAGGGACACAAGTACGAAGTCCCTGAGGCAATTCTTGGTACATTCAAGAAATTACACAAAGTCCAGTGTTGCTAGCATGGGATAGCCAGGCATTTTAGGACAGACAGGCAGACAAAATCCGATCATTCAAATGATTATAGGACTTTGTAAGGATTTTGGCCTTACTCTAATGAGATGAGAAGCCACTGAAAAATCTAAAGCTGAAGAATGGCATGATCAAATTTGCATCTTCATAGGCTCTCTTTGGCTGCTATCTTGAGAGTACATCAGGAGAAAATGATGTGCAGAACTAGAAAGAATAATTAGGAGTTGATGGCAATTATCTTGGCTAGGTATGGCAGCAGTTTAGATGAGTATGGCAAAAGTGATGACAAGGGATTGGATTCTGTATGTTTTTGAGGGTAGAACCAACAAGAGGGTAGAACCAACAAAATTTGCTGATGCCTTAGAGATGAGTTCTGAAAGAGAGAAAATGTTAACTCCGTGTTTTTGGTCTAAGCATCTGAAAGACTGAAGTGGTCATTAACAGAAGAGGGAAAGGCTATAGAAGAAACAACGCTGGAGACTAGAGGGAAGATCACTATTTTGATTTGGACATGTTAGTTCAAGTTCTTGTTACGACATCCAAATGAAGATGTCAAATGACTTCTTAGAGAAAGGATTCTAGAGACCAGGATTGACTTCTGAGCTGAAGAATTAAATATTGGCATCAACAGCACACAGAAAGTAACTAAGGTTATGACTAGATGAACTTACCTAAGAAGTGGGAGTAAAAACAGAATGATAAAAACATGAGTGTAGACCATTATTTCATACCATATATAAAAATTAACTCATAATTAATTGATCATAGAGAAAAATATAAAAACAGATTACTGAGATACTAAGACATTAACTGTACCAAGTACAATAAGTCAAAATGGGTTAATCAATCATTATTCTATCTGTATATTTCCTTACTTATATCATTTTTTTCTATAATGATAATCCCCTGCCTATCAATCTACATGGCTATTTTAAATAAAACTTAATTAGCTATCTGGTCACCATCACTCTGATTTAGCAGAAATTCAAGTAAAAACATTATTGATGCTCCGACCTTCTCCATAGATTTTTAGTATTGTGACTTTTAAATGTAACTTTGACATTTGAAAAAAAGGGTTACATAATTTGATATATGTAACTATATGTATATAAATAAATAACATATATGAATAATCAGCCTTATTCCTCTCTATTGAACCATGTGGCTACATTATCTGTAAGGAGACTGCATGAGATCACCAAAAAAACCAGACATAATTGATTAGAGATTGAAGAATTTAGACCTTGGGCAATCTGATATTTTCAGTTTACAGACAAGAGGAAGAACTAGCAAAGGAGACTAAGAAATTGTGCCAGTGAACAAGGATAAAATCAGGAGAGGGCAGCATCCTGAAATGCAAATAAACCAGGTTCAGTGCTGCTCATAGAGCATGCAACATGAAAACTAACCATTGGCAACACAGACTTATCGGTGATCTTGCAAATGTCAGATTTAATGGAGTGGTGACAGTAACAGCCTCATTTAAATGGGTTGATGGACCGATAGTTGAAGAGGCCTCATACTTTGCTAAATAATTATAAACCAAGAGGGGACAAGAGTTGCAAAAGCTGACTCCTGAGGTCAGCCTTTGACATTGAAAATCAAAA